>NC_000006.12:102949577-103101093 GCF_000001405.40 Homo sapiens
AAATATCCCTCATTCTTATATTGAAGAATGGTATTAAAAAAACAAGATATAGGCACAAGGTATGTATGCTCTTTGCTACTATAGTGTCATAGCTTCCAGAAACTTTCATCTGAAAGAGTATATAATATGTATCTATTATATACCTGCATTATATAGGTATATAATAGATGTACCTATCCATATGTGTTTTCTAAACTATGTATATAGAGGTATTTATATAATCTAGCCAAATATGAGTCTGTACTGGTGTCTCCAACTCAAATTTATGACCATCTGAATCATTCTAGTCTCTTCCCCTCACTTACCTGTATCCTCCCACTCCAACCATTGGATACTGATTTGCCACAATTTACCATCCATATACTGAATTATTCAAATGCAGTATACATGGATAGTGGCTTCAGAATTGTTTTCCAATACTCTGATGAGAAAAAACTTGTTAATTAGAGTTCAGTACCTATGCACAATTCTTTTTCTGGTTAGTCTCACAGACTACACTAATTTCCAAAGTGACTCAGTTCAGCACTTTTCTTTCCACTCCCATCAATTAGATTTTTTCAAATATTTATGAAACATTCAGAATATTTTTTTACAGTTTCATATCCATTCTGAAATCCCTAGTATCCTCACTGATTTTTTAAAAATTTACATACTTTAAGGTTCACTCTGTGCTCTCTATGACACTAAGGGTTTGGGAAAATGTATGTCACATATCCACAATTCACCATGTAAAGAAATGTAGACAACATGAAAACATGAATTTTACATTTTACATTGTCATCTGTATGTCATAAAGAATAGGTTCACTGCACCAATTTTTTTCTGTGCTTCACCTATTTGGTCCTCCTTTTACTCCAAACCCCTGATCTATTTATTTCCTGTCTCTATAGTTTTGTCTCTTTCAGAACCTTATGTAAATGGTATCATATAGAATATAACCTCAAAAACTGACATTTTACTTAGAGATATGCATCCAAATTCAACCAAACTTTTGTGTATATTGATAATTAATTTCTGTTCATCACTAAATAGCATTCCACTGTATGCATTAAAAGCAGTTTTGTGTTTATTTTATTATTATAGGTACATAATAGATGTACCTATTCATGGGGAACATACGATATTCTGATACAGACATACAATGTGTAGAAATCACATGAGGGTAACTGGGGTAACCATCACCTCAAGCATTTATCATTTCTTTGTGATAGGACCATTCCAATTCCACCAATATTTAAAAAGATACAATAAAAAATTGTTGATTATACTCACCGTTTCCACAGAAGTTACTTTTTCACACATTTATCTACTGAAAAACATCTAAGTTGCTTTCAGTTTTTGGTGATTATGATAAAAGTTGCTATAAAAATTTGCATGCAGGTTTTATGTAAACATAATTTTTTAAATTACTTGGGTAAATACCTAGGAATGTAATTGCTAGAGTGTATAGTAAGACTACATGAAGATTTATAAGAAACTGCCAAACTGTCTTCCAAAGTGTATCTGTCATTTTGCATTCTGAGCGGCAATTTATGAGCATTCCTCTTGTTCCACATCCCGTTGACTGTATTTGTGCATTTTTCCCCTGATAGGTAAGACAAGAGGCCTGGAGGGAACTGGAGTGGGACTAATCTCTTCCTCTAGCTATGATAAGGCTGTAGCAAAGTCTTTTCTCCTGAATAGGATGCTTGTGTTATATATATGATTCTAGATATTGATATCATTCACGTGATACTTTTCTTATTTCCCTGTCAGAGCCACAGGGCATATTTCTCAGATCTTCACTTGTATGAATTGCTACTTAAGTGTGCCTACCAGTTTATGGTTCCAGTCACTTCTGCTCCATGTAAGTAGATCTAAGCTGTGACTATCTGGACTTTCCTGCCTCTCAGATTTTGAGGTGGTTTTTTTCTTCTGTAACCTCAATTTTCTGATGACTCCAAGAAAAGTTCTTGGTTTTCAGTTGGTCTGAATTTTTTTATTGTAAGTTTGAAAGTGATGACTCCCAAGCTATTTACTTGTCAGAGATGAAACCAGTTCTCTAATTGTTATTTTTATAGTCTTATTTCCATGTCATTTTTTGTAATGCCTAATGATTCTTTTATTATTTTACCTACCTGTCTTCATACCCTAACACACATACACCACACACACACACACACACTCTCTCTCTCTCTCTCTCTCTCTCTGTAGTGGAAATTTAACAGTTTTATCAATGTTGTCCAGGCCCATATTATTTCCTCTACCTCAACTAAGGAAATACCATTCTGCTGAGCTCCCAGAATCCACTCTGACTCTCCTTGTAATCAGTGTTCTATTCTGCAATCTGAAAAATTTAAATCAGATCACATTACGTCTCTTGCTTACCACTCTTCAAGGGCTTCCTATTGTGTTCATTATAAGGATAAAACCCCATATCAAGCTTCTTCAAAGTCTCATATATTTTGGACCTAATATAATATGTTAAATATTTTGAATATAGGAGGTGAAAAGAAAAAATATTTGTTAAATTTAACAATAAGTTTTCAAGGATTCCAAAGAGTTTGTCTTTGAGATTCAAACAAAATATTTTGAATCACATCTCATTCATGGGGGAACATCCTTATCTTCATAATTCCCTAATCTCTCCAGAGATTGGAGGTAAATGGAAGATGTTCAAGGATGTTAGGCTTTTTGGTTGTGTATTTGTTTGGTGGTTCTATCTACAAAAGAACTTTCGACTTGAATGTAAATTTAGTTTTTGTATTATATATGACTCTGGAGCAGCACTTTCTCTTCCATGTAATGCTACATCAGAGATGAAACTATGGCCTTTCCTCCTTATTTTCTACCAAAAGCAAACAAACAAATTGAGACTGTGTTACAGGGCATGTAGCAGACTCTGTTGAGAGTTTAGAGCCACAGGAGAGATTTGGATTCAATCAACATGAACAACCAATACATAAATAAATAAATAACACATATTTCTCATAGTTTTTCTATCCCTCTCATCCTATTTCTCTACCCTTCTCTGACTCTCAGGATTTTCTTTTCCCTTTTATGGAGAGCATATCCTGGGCCTCTCCCTGATACTCTATTACCTGCCCTTTATAATTCAGAACAATTTATCTCAGCACACGCTCTTTAGTTCTTTACATAACAGGCATAAAGGCTCACTAAAATATGGATTATCATCTACTCTAGAAATCCTTTTATTTTTTTTTTGAACTAGGACGTGGCAAATTTTCCATTGTTCCTATCTTCAACTCCTAGAAATCAGTGTGAGGCAGAGAAACCAGTTTAGAGAGTTAATTCCTGACCAGCAGAAATGAGGACTATTTAGTTAAGATAAAAATGGTCATAGACAGTTTGGTTCTCAAGTATGTTTATTCCCTCCTTCACTGATATCAGATTGCATCATGATATATTTTTAAATACCATATATAAATATCTATAGCTATGCTGTAACTGCTTTAAAAATAACTTGCACATATACCATGTTGAAAACTGTTTACCAAAACTGTATTAGGAGGTATAGGGAAAATAAAGATGTAGATTTTATGGATTTATGTATATAAAGCACTCAGCACAGTATTGGCTTATAGCATAAGCTCACTAAAAGATAGCTGTTAAAATAGAAATGTAAAAGTCAAATATATTGATTCTATACCAATTTCACCAAGACATCTTCCAGCCTACACTGGAGCACCTCATTGAGAGGATTAGCACATTGCAGTTTAATCTACCCAATTATGCTTACATCTTTTGGTAAAAAATTGTTAAAGGAAGAAAAATGACATATACGTGTGTGTGTGTATAAGTATGCATAATGAATTAAATTTGAATTAGTACATACAGTATATATACATACATGTGTATATTTATATATACACATATACATTTATTATGTATATAATTATTTATATGTCTATATACAAATATGTATACGTATATATAATGTATATGTATGTAGTATGCATAATGAATTAGATTTGAGTTAGTGCATACAGTATATATACATGTGTATATGTGTATGTATACACACATATGTATATTTGTATATACACACATATGTATATTTATATATACACACATATGTATATTTATATATACAAATATACATTGTGTATATAATTATGTATATGTCTATATACAAATATGTATATATATATAATATATATGTATATATACACATATGTATATATGCTGTATCTGTATGTGTATATATACACATATGCATATATAGTGTATGCACTAATTCAAATTTAATACATTATGCATACCTACCATACCAAGCCCTGTGCTAGTCTCTGTGAATATTACATAAACAAGCTACGATATCCATTCTCAGGAGTATATTACTACTCACCTTTAAACAGAAGCTCTAAAAGTACAAAAAAGAAATCTGGTTCTTGCCTTAGGCATTGATTAAATCAGAAACAACGACCAGGAAATAAAATAATGTAAGTGGGTTCTGCTGAACTTAAAACAAGAATCTTTAAAATATGTATACTCATGAACACAGTACATTTTTATCTTCAAATTACCTGCTGATGCATTTCAGACTAATACAATTTTACTGAAAATCTCCCCACTCTTCAAAAGAGTTTGAACCTGTATTTTGAGGGAAAATAGTTATTTATCATGATGGGGGCCCTATATTAAAAATATTAAAATTATCTCATATTAAAATATTTGTATGCTAACTAGCTTATAAATAACATATGAATCAAAATACAGAAAAAAGGGTCAAATATTAGACAAAAAGCTGAAACTATTTTTGAGACGATTGTAAAGACTCTGTATTAGATTGCTAGGATTGCCGTAAGAAAATATCACTGACTCGGTGGCATAAACAGCAGACATTTATTTTCTCACAGCTCTGGAGGTCAGAAATCTGAAATCCAGTTGTGGGCCAGTTTGAATTCTGCTGAAGCCTCTCTTCTTGGTTTGCAAATGACCTCCTCACTACATGTTCACCAGGATCTTCTGTGTGTGTGTGTGTGCTTGTCTGTTCTCTCTGTGTTTTAATATACTCTTCTTATAAGGACACCAGTCATATAGAGCCCACCCTTAGGACCCTATTTTGACTTAACTACTTCATTAAATGCTCTGTCTCCAAACACAATCACATTCCGAGGTACAGAAAGTTAGGAATTCACCACATGAATTTGGAGGGAGATTTAATTTATTCCATAACAGACCATCTCCCCAAGAAAGTTTTTCTTCTTTAAAAAAAATTCAGTAAGCTACCATAAATTATATATCTGTATAATTGTTCAACATTCAATAAATGTGTAGCCATATCAATATATATATTCATTGTCTCCCTGGCCTATATTATTCCCTTAACATTTCATGCCTCCCTGTTCAGTATAGCAGTTCCCACAGTCTGCATTATAATTCTCTGCCTGTCTTCCCCTCTAAATTTCCCACACCATAGCAACAAGCACGATGCCTTATTCATCTTTGGGTATCAGATCATATCACAGAGACTTCTTCATAGGAGGTTTTCAGTAACAGTGTAAATATGGTTTTAAATTTGAAGGCAACACAAAAGAATAAAGTAAAAATCATTTTTATATTACCACATGTCAACAGTATCTAGCACAGTGGTTAGCAAATGGTATATCTGATATATGTATATCTATGCATAGATATACACACATATACATATATACACATATATATTTCACTTTTTAAAAAATATACCTGCTTTGTATTCTAGTTGTTCACATTCCTGGGTTTCACAGCATTTAATACTAAAGGGATCTCCTATCTTCTATCTTGTAATGTTGACTTTATCTTGCAGATCTCCTATCTTGTAATGTTGACTTTAATATTTTGTGGCTTAGTTCTCTCTGCTCCTAGGAATGTTTGGGGTTTATATATCCCAAATGAACTTTGGTTTATTATTACAATCAATTACAGAAATGTGGCAATATTATTTTATAACCTTATAAATATTTTTAAGAAAAGCTATTGACAATACTAAATGTATAGGTCAAAGACTATAAAGAAATAAAAAGAAAGTTTTATTTGAACAAAGAGAATAACCCCTTCCCTTTTCTTTTCACACTATAGGTAACTATTAACTAGATTTCCCTATACTCAATTTGTGCTTTTGGAGAATTTTTATTTTTTCATATGGAAGGCTGTACATGATGAAGTAGATTTGTTTTTCATGTGAAGTACTTCAATAAACACAGGAAAACACCTCATAATTAAATTGAATCTGACATTAAACTAATAAATTAGTATATCTCATTAAAAAGTTTTACATCTTTGACAACTTTCTTCAAGTTATTAGAAATTATTTTTCATCTAAGATTCTTAATCATAAAACAAAGCAGGACACTGAAGCATTTTTGATAAGGTGGGAAACTAAACCAAAAGATCAAGAGCCACAACAAAAAGGAACACCAAGAGAAGATGAAAAGAGACAGTGTTGATAATGTAGGTTTAAAAGATTAAGAGCTGAATGGAATAGAATATTTAGATAAAAAGAAAACCACAAAGAGACATCAGGAATATGACAACAAAGATGCACAGGAAGGCATAGTCAAAAATTAAAAGGGAGTGAAGGTGAATGCATGCTTTACAAAAATCCAAAAAAGAGAACAAAGAAAGAATGACAGTAAAGATAAGAGAGGGATCAAAGATAATCATGTTAGGTATACAAACACAAAGGAGAAAACTCAACTTAATCCTGTCAAAATAAGGTTTTTGAATATCTTGAATACAGGTGAATATGTCAGATTACCTGTGAAGTTTTCAAAAAGGAACATATAATGATTCTTGAAAACAGACTTTAAAAGACAAGCAGTGTTTTAGTGGAATATTAAAAATACCATTGAAACATATAAATAAAATTTAATAAATTGACTTGTTATTTAAAATCTACAGTGTTGGAGGACATATTTTATTTATGTACTTGACCATAAAAACATGTTTATAGAATATTTTACTGACAGTTTTAGCATAAAATATAGATTTAGAATTCTTTTCTATATGCATTTTTTATTTTCATGTGTATTCTACAAAGTTGAAATACAAATATGTATTTTTAATATTATCATTAAAAATAATTGCAAGTGTTTCTTCAGTTTTATATAATCCACGTGTCACTTTGCAGAATCACTTTGTTATCAAATTTCTTAATACTGGATTTTGCTATGAAAGGCAGGGTACACTCATGTAATATGTATGATTTATAATACAGCTCACATAAGAATTATTATAGCAAAGGTGTAAAAGTAATACATCCTGCATAAATTTAAAAAAATTGCTTAAACGATCTGACCCAATAAAACATTCATGAATGAAACTCAATTTTCTTATGACATCTTCAGCAACTGAGATATTTAGAAACATTTTAAGCTGAATTTGCATAAATTATTTAAGTCTTTATAATTTATACCTTAATTAGGTGTATATTATGTAAACATTTATTATTTTATTTCATCCTCCAAAAATATACTGATTAATTTTTTTTTGTTTTCTGTTTACTTGTCTTACTTTTTGTAGAATAGCTCTTAATATCATATGAACTATTAGTTTCTAGTGAAAAATAGCTTGGGACATGCTATACTATAAGTTTCATGAGAACCAGAACCTAGTCATCTATTGCTTGCTATTCTTTTGACATCCCTCAGTAAATAAGTGCAGAAATAAATAGAATAGAATATCAATGTCTACATGAATTCAGACAAAGTGTATGCAATGTAAGAGGACAGAATCGTTCACAAACATCATGAAAATGATTTTACTGAATTATGTTTTAGCATATCATTTGCAAACATGGAGGAATGTCTCAAACAATACTTCCATGAAATTGTTTTAGTACATATTGTTTATATTATTGAGAATACTGTTCTCTACATTGCACAATGTCTTCTTTATAATAACCTGAGTGATAAATAGGCATCTTGCCATAGGACTAAAAAGTTTTTCTTCTTACAAAGAATTTTCTGTCCTCTTCTTTTTCCCTCCTCTTCCTCTTTTTCCCCGTCCTTTTCCTACTTCTTTAAAATTATGATTCATATAATTAGTTATGTCTTCATTAACGCCATTTATGTCTAGGATAACAAAAGCCAAACTTTTGATTCAACTGTAAGGCACAGGCATATCAGGAGATATAGTTTACATGTATTTTGCATACTACCTTTATTTAGATTTCATTTCACTTATAAATTCATTAAGAAATATTTATTAAATAATTACTATGTTTTCAATAGTCTTCTAGGCATTGGGTATATAAAAGTAAGTAAAAAATACATAGCATGTCTTCAGTCGTGTGGGGAAGCCTCTAGTCTGAAAAATTGTATTTTCCAGAATTGTTTCAAATTCCTCTGTTTACATATTATTTTTCCCCAAGCTTCACTCACTTCAGCTAGAAAATTCCACTTGGCCTCTAGTAAAAGCTAAGTTTCTGAGAAATAACTCCACATAGAGATACAGGGATACCTCCCCGACTCCCACTTCTTTATATTTATTTTTTCTCTTGTCAAAAGATCTTCTATATTGCTGTAAACCTGAATGCCTGAGAGCTTGAAATTTTATTTTTTTGTTTTTGTTCTCAGAATTTTTGTTACCTTTCTTCATATCTTCAGAGTATCTTCCTCTCCCTAAAACCCTATAAAATCTCTTCTCTGGCTTAATCACTTTGAAGCAGTTTCTATGGAAGTTGTCTTCTCTGTTACACTTTAGCTAACAATGAGTGACTTTTCATCACTTCAGTTCTCCATGTTTATTTCAACAATCAATATTGGCCTTCCACATTACTCATTTATTACTTTCAAATACTATTTTTCATTAACTCTAAGGTACCATAGATTGTAACATACATCTATTCCATGTACTGGTATAAAAGAAAGAATACTCTCAACTAAATTTTTCTTATAATTTAGAAGTTTTATCCTCATGGAAGAACTCAGACTTACACAGATATTTAAAAATAATATTAATTCCACACATGTATAAAATGAATAAGACAAACAAAATACATTTATTATAATATTCTTAATTATTTTTCACATTTGAGGTGTGACTCTTCTGGATCACTTTTTGACTTACAGCAGGGGCAGAAAATTCCTCTGCCTTCCTCTAAGAGTCCGAGATAGATCCAAGAATTAAATGGACATAAAGTATATTAACAAGAGAAAATCATAGAAATTTACCTAATGCAAGTTTTATGTGAGATAGAAACTTTCATAAAGAAATGAAGACCCCAGAGAAGTCAGAGTCAGTTACTTATACAGGTATACTGAATTGAACAAACAGTGGTAAATTGTAAAGAAACAACTAAATTACGTGAGGAGCTTAGAAGATGTGATGGTTAGTATTGAGTGTCAACTTGATTGGATTGAAGCATGCAAAGTATTGTTCGTGGGTGTGTCTGTGAGGATGTTGTCAAAGGAGATTAACATTTGAGTCAGTGGTCTAGGAGAGGCAGACCTACCCTCAATCTGGGTGGGCACAATCTAAGCAGCTGCCAGAGTGGCTAGAATAAAAGCAGGCAGAAGAACATGGAGGGTTGAGACCGGCTCAATCTTTGGCCTGCATCTTTCTCCCGTGCTGGATGCTTCCTGCCCTCAAACATCAGACTCCAAGTTCTTCAGCTTTTGGACTCTTGGATCTATACCAGTGGGTTGCCAGGGGCTCTCTGGCCTTAGGCCACAGACTGCACTGTCGGCTTCCCTACTTTTGAGGTTTTGATTCGGACTGGCTTCCTTGCTCCTCAACTTGCAGACATCGTATTGTGGGATTTCACGTGGTGATCCTGGGAGTCAATACTCTTGAACAAATTCCCTTTCATATGTACATCTGTCCTATTAGTCCTTTCCCCCTAAAGAACCCTGAGTAATACAGAAGATAAGTGTTATTTTGACAAAGTCGGTATAGAATTCTTTGTTTTTATTTTCTGTCTTGAGAATAAGGATGTTGCCTTTCCTTCTAGTATAAGTGAGAGTGTCTTTCACAGGGAAATTTCATTTTCTGCCCTTAAAAAATAGCATGAAGGTCTAAGTAGTCTTTTTGCAGCTGTTGTTTTTCAAGTGTCTTTAAGTAGTCAATATGCTAGAATGACATCTTCTAACACCTTTGTATATGTATGCATATATGTGTGTATATATGTTTATGTATATGGTGTAATTCTCTATGTACCATTTGTAATGCTACATTTCTTATAATAGTGTTCTACTTGCCTCTCTTAAGATATTTTCCAAGACCCTGACAGCCTCTCTACATATTTGGGTGCTAAAACTTACTTAATTTTACTGGAAGGCTTAATGACAGGTATTTAGATAACAACTAACATTTATATTCTTTCCTCTGAGTGCTTCTTTAATAATCTCTTGATTTTATAACAAGAAGTTGCAAATATATTGTTCACAGTAGGACAAAGAAATCCATACATGAACAGGCAATAAAATTTTCGTGACTGCCATCCGATCAACAATGTTAAGATATCACTGATTGAATTATGTACCCTGACATTAGAGATGTTAAAAGTGAAAAAAATGCATTAGGGATTTTAGGATTTTCCACTCACTGTTGTTACTATTTTCCTTAGATATCTCACTTCTCATTAGGCTATATTGCCTTCATTCAAAAACTACACTGAATTCCTTCAAGGCCAGAATTGAAGGTGATGGCAGTTTTGTATCTATGGTTCTGCTGCTATGTATTAAGTCTACTCTCTGCTATTAAGATTGTTTTGGGCTCTTTCTGATGATAATTTGATTCCTGTTGTTCAGCATGCATTTTGTGCAAATAGAGTAAGAATAATTGCTTTCCCCTCACAAATGATTTCTACTAGAATCATACAAAGAAGTCAGTTCTGTTAGCACTGTTTGTCTCTATAGCTATCTCTCCAGATTTTGGTGCAGCTTTAGTGTAGGACTATGTGAAGTTTATTAATAATCACACTCAGAAATCAATTTGAATAGTGACTACTTCCTTAGTTGAAGTGTTTAAATTTTCTTCAGGTCAATTTCATGCTCAGAAGTTTTTGGTAATATTTTTCTCCCCCTTAAAAAAATATAATCTCTATTCTCAAAGAAACTGATAACTCCCAAAGTCATTTGTACTGCCTCTCTGAGAAAATTTAATATGGCCTCTGGCAAAGAAGTTGCAGCTTGACAGCTAAGAATTTCTTAAAGCCTCAAAGGGGTAATTATTTTCATCCCTCTTTATCTAGAGCCTCATCGTATGCATACCAGATTTACACCATCTTGGCCGGGCGCAATGGCTCACGTCTGTAATCCCAGCACTTTGGGAGACAGAGGTGGGCAGATCACCTGAGGTCAGGAGTTCGAGACCAGCTGGTTAACATGGTGAAACCCTATCGCTACTAAAATTTCAAAAATTAGCTAGGTGTGGTAGCAGGCACTTGTAGTCCCAGCTACTTGGGAGATTGAGGCAGGAAGATTGCTTCAACCTGGGAGGTGGAGGTTGAAGATCCTGCCACTGCACTCCAGCCTGGGTGACAAGAGCCAGACTCTGTGTCAAAAAAAAAAAAAAAAGATTTACAATTTCTTAGTGATACTTATTTTTCGGTCTTCTCTTTTTTGTATCCTTTGATGATATAGGATTCGTCTACCACAGACAGTTACGATATTTGACTTTGTCTATGTAATAACTGTATTCAGGAAGAGGAAATAGTTTCTGCTACTGTCTTGTACCAATGTAATGTTTCAGTCAATGATGAACAACATATATGATGGTGGTCCCATAGGATTATAAAAGACCTGAAAAATTTATATCACCAAATAATGTCTCATAGTCATTGTAACATAGTAGTGCAACACTTTACCTTTTCCATGTTTAGATATGTTTATATAGACGAATATCATTGTGTTATAATTGCCTATCATATTCAGTACCATAATGTGTTATACAGGTTGGTAGCCTGGGAACAATATCATATAGCCTAGGTGTGTAGTAGGCTATATCATCTAGCTTTGTGCAAGTATACTCTATGCCATTCACACAATGACAATATTTCTTAACAACAGAGCATATCTCAGAACAATATACCTGCTGTTATGTTACAAATGGCTGAACTTAGTTTGCTCTTCAGAAAACACCAAACAAGCCTATCTTCTAGATTTATCTCTTTCATCTCTTTCTGCTGCTTTTCTCGCATGATTTTATGTTTTTCTTCTTCATTTTGCCCCAACACACCTGAATTTCTTTTCTTCATTTTTTGTCATTTTTTTCCATTCCTTCTTCTTGCTGCTCAATGTAATGCAATTTTTGGGGAGTTTTCATTATAAAACTTGACAGATTCAAAATGGAATCACTTGTGTCAAACTCTGGCAATTTGGAACCTGAGAAGATGTTGAAGAAAGGGCTCACATGTGTGATTTGCCTGATAACAGAAAGTATCACAATTTTTTTTTTCCAAACCATATCTATCAGCAAAAGGACAGCTAGTAGATTATACATGAACACTTGCCTGAAACAGTCTCTCAAGCCCAATCCAACAAAACAGTCTGCTATCACTTTAAGATTACAAATTTTACCTAGTCATTGCCACCACTTAAACCAAGAGGTTTTAAAACAACTTGTGTAAACACTTCTTTCTCCAGCAAAACCCTAACCAAAAAAGAAAAAAAAAAAATCTTTGTCCTCTGGGCATAGCAAAGGCCACCCATGTCTGTATGTGTGCTCTAAATTGCAAGTCTATTGTTTTTATATTCCTAAATAAAACTTTTTGCTCTGAGGTTTGCCTCTCTCTTTTTTTTTTATGTTGACAGCCTCAATCTCACTTTTCTGTAACTCAAATTATAGATTGCAAGTTTATAGGACCAACATTTACACTCGTCTACACTCCAAGATCACACTAAATTTGCCTTTAAAGAGGAGAAATTTACTGAGGAAAAAAGTTTATTGTCTGGTTTTGACCATCAAGAAGGAAAATTATTTCAGGACGAAGTGAAGAAATGGCAAATGGCCTATACATGTAACACAGCCTTAGAAAAATGGATAAAACAAACTCAGCAGATAATCAGACTTCATCCTAGGGAACAAATATAGGAAAAAAAGCATGCATTGATTCAAGATGTTAAGTACATTCCTACAGATAGAAGCAAACTAAAACACTAAAGAAATTCCGGCTTGTTTTCCCTGCCGAAAGTAATACTTTCTTACTGATATCGAGAAAGATATTTTGAGATTCTTTGATATATTTGAATTGATTTGTTCACAATTATTTGTCTATAATAAGACCTATAATATGCATTTATAATCTAAAGAGAACATTCTACACTGTGGCCATTGGAAACAAATAAAAATTAAAGTAGTTCTTGCGGATAATAAGCTCATTATTGTGGCATCATTATTACATTGTTCTAAAGCCCTAGGTAAGAGATTAATAAGACACAAAATACACAGGTTATTTTAAACAGAAATGTACATTCTCAACTTGGTATATTTCCCCTTCCAGAAACATGGATGCACCTACTATAGACTTTTTCTAATTCTCCAAACTGTTAAAGTCTACTTCCTCTTCTGTCTAATTAGTTTCATAGCAAGAGTATCTTATATTTTATTTAGCTCACTGTCTTAATACATTTGATCATTGATGTTATTTTTACAGATTTTATTATGATCAATCCAATTATACCACTACTATTATATATATTATATATATATTTTTTGAGACAGAGTCTCTTTCTGTCGCCAGACTGGAGTGCAGTGGCGCAATCTCGGCTCACTGCAACCTCCACTTCCCAGGATCAAGGGATTCTCCTGCCTCAGCCTCCTGAGTAGCTGAGACCACAGGTGCCCACCACCATGCCCAGCTAATTTTTGTATTTTTAGTAGAGACGGGGTTTCACCATGTTGGCCAGGATGGTCTCGATCTCTTGATCTTGTGATCTGGCCGCCTCGGCCTCCCAAAGTGCTGGCATTACAGACGTAAGCCACCGTGCCCTGCCTATTATACCACTATTACACCTAATAGAAATTGTATTATGAATTACTCTAAAATAATTATGAAGTGAGTTAGTTAGCATTGAAATAGAATTTTCTTAGGTTTCTATACAAAACAAATCTTGAAGGTAAACCAATTTCATAATTAGTTGCAATATAAATCAAGGTCCAAATCTCTTGAGTTTTGCTTTTCAAGTCTCTCATAGATATACATCTATGATTTGTTTTATGGTTAATGGTGGTACTAACATAAGTACAAGTTTCACTTTAATATGATGAGATACAGATATAGTAATAGGTAAGCAATTTTAATATATATTTGGGTATATACACTATATTTTGAAATTCAAATATTATATGTGTATAAAAATTTACACATGAAATAAAACTTTAGGCCTTGGGAGAACATTAAAGAATAGATATTTAGATCAATTATATATTTAACACGAAATGGTTATTGGGCTATATATAATAGCAATAATAATGAATAGGCTTGAAAATGATGGCTATTTATATAAGGGATATTTCTTATTGAATTGACTATTATAAGTAATCAATCTAAAATGAAATTTATGAAAAGTAATATTTACATATTCAAACAATTATTTTACCATGCTTGTTATTATACGGATATAAACTGAATAATAAAATAGTAATATATAAAAATAGTGGGTTTTTTTTGTGTGTGTGTGTGTTTTTCTGAGATGGTGTCTCACTCTTTTGCCCAGGCTGGAGTGCAGTGGCATGATCTTGGCTCACTGCAACCTCCGCCTCCCAAGTTTGTGCAATTCTCTTGCCTCAGCCTCCCGAGTAGCTAGGACTACAGGCATCTGCCACCACGCCCAGCTAATTTTTGTATTTTTAGTAGAGATGGGGTTTCGCCAGGCTGGCCAGGCTGATCTTGAACTCCTGACCTCAGGTGATCTGCCCGTCTCAGCCTCCCAAAATGCTGGGAGTACAGCCGTGAGCCACAGTGCCTGGCCTAAATGTAGTTTTAATGCTTCATTATTGTGTAAAATACGTTTTAAAAACACTAAAGGAGGAAAATTTAAAATAGAGCAGCTAATAACTGGACAAAGCTTACTTTTTAAGGGAAGAATAATAATATTTCAATATTCTGATATAATATTCTAACATTACTGCCATTTTCAATCTGAGTACTTTAAATATTTTTATACTTTTTATCTCCCATGTTTACAGATTTACCAGGAGGTTGTTGTTGGGAAGCAGAGGAGTAAAGAATTTTCTTAGTATTCATTAAAAATAAGTATTGTGCATATTAGAAAAAACTTTAAAATATACAACACATTTATAAAAACATATTATTTATGCTCTATATTTATTTAATATAACTTACCCAGAAGATAAGATTTCATGTTAGAAAAAATAAAATATATCTTCATTTAGTTCTGCACCTCTTCTACCTTTATCACAAATTTGATACCATGGTGACAGTCATTAGGGAAAGAAAAGTCATAATCTTTCAGAGGCAGAGGATTACAGTAGTCTTCAGGACACAGAAATTCATCTTTGCAAAGAATAATGTGCTTTTAATACCAGCATAGTCACAGATAGGCAATGAGAACTTTTTTTTTTTTTAAACAAAACTACTAGATAGACAGAGGGTTACAAACAGGTAAAAATCTATCTGAAAGAGTTTCTGCTGGAGAAAAACCTGTAAGAGAAAGTTACTCTTTACTAAGTGATGCCAAATAATATATCAGAGCTTACCCAAAATGTGTATTTAGTGCTATGAAGTAGGTTATGAAGCTGAAGCTATAGTTTTGTCCCAATTTTTTATAGTAGAATAGTTTCAGAGATATGGTAAAAGCATAACCAAGAGCTGGTTCTTTTAAATAGTCGTTTTCTTCAAATAATTACCATCAATCTTGCAACATCTTTTACTAGAAACGTGGCTCTCTTGTTGCTGTGTAGCTTTTGCTTTTTAACAATCAAGATGGGCCTTTAATTTTCCACTTAGGGTATTTCATCTTATCTGATTAGATTTCTTAGGTAAAAATTTAGAATCTGAAGTTCAAATGTCTTTTTCATCAGGGAGTAAAGCTGAACATTTAATCTTTTATGATTTTTATTTGGTACAGAAATATGCTGAAAGAAATTAATTCAGTTACATAAAGAAATACAAGTTTCACATAAAATATTCTCTTTTCTATTATTTATTCTATTTCACTCTATAGTACTCTCTCTCTCGTGCACACACTCTCTTTCTCCCTGTTTCTCATGCTGATCAAAACCCACTAAAATGACTTTGTAGACATTCATTCACAGCCATAGTTTAAGAAAAATCACATGGGTCAAAGGATACAAAGTAGGAGATACATAGGGCGAACAAATTTAAAGACCTAATGTATAGCAAAAAGACTACAGTTAATAATCAGGTATTCAGGATTTTTGCTAATTAAATTTTTGCTCTTGCCAGAGGGCTTGGGAAATGGGTATCTATGTGAGATGATGGATATGTTAATTTGTTTCACTAAAATAACTATTTTACTATATATATATATATATATATGTACCTCATAACATCATACTGTATACCTCAAAGATACACAATAAAATTTATTTTTAAAAAACACAAACATAAAAAGAGAAACAACATTAAAATATACTCTATTCATAATATAGTCACTGCGATTTGTGCTTAAGAATCACAATGATATAGTTCATCATTAAACCAGTATGTAGTCAAGAATTTACCTATAATATTGAAATTGTAAGAATGGAGTTTATAAAACTGTTGAATTTCTAGCATTACTCCATTATCAGCTAATTCAGCTAACTGCAGTTTCATTTCAATTACATTAAGATCCTTTTTCCTTCATCACAGAATATACAAATAAATATATACAGCTTCTCTCAAAATTACATCTAATTAACTTTTTGTTACTAACATAAGAAAAGAGTAAGTCCAGCATTCTAGGCTACAAAGTTAGAAGTTTGCTAAGTAAGGTGCCTATTGTTTTAACAGTAATCTCCTTATGTCATTATTTTTTAGTAAAACAAGTACCCATACAATGACAAATTGTAAAATAATTCTCTAATTTATTTAAATGCCACTCATTTTGCTTTGAAAATGTGCAATTTATTTTCAGTTGAATATAGGAAATAAAATGTCGAATTAAATGGTAAAATTTTAATATATTTGATGTCAAATTATTATTGAACATTTTAGAGATATTGAAATAAAACAGGTTTTTTCATTCATTATGAGTAATATAGTCAAAACTAGCTAGTGTGAAGAAATATACATATTAAAATGGAATCATTCTATGCATGAGCTAATCTGATAAATCTTAATGTATTATTTTATTTAAACATTATACCAATCATATAAGACGTTTTAAAAATGAAATTTTGGTGACCATGATTAAGTGACTTGCCCAGATAAGTAGCTTGTTGATATTTGGAATTAGGTCTGACTCCAGAAATCAATGTTTGTAAATTCTGCGGTAAAAGACAATACTTATGTACTTTATGAGATATCTTAACAGTATACTCACAAATATATTGTGAAAACTAAATAATTTGGTAACTGCAACAAGTTAAATTTTGGGGGTAGAAACTGTCAAATAAAAACAAATATGTACTTAGATGAGGAGAGACTATTCAAAAAGTCTATTGCAATAGGGGAAGAGCTCTGATCTCAGAAAACTAAAAGCATCTCAAAATCAAACAGTGAAAGCCTTTTCTTTTATATGCAGGAATACGTAGACCTAGAAGAAAGGAAAGGTGGGCAAGCAAGAGGCAGTGAGCAAACAGTATGATTGATACGATTTGATAGGAAATATGATTGTGATCAGTTGATTCTTGGGATAAGCTGAGGGGTGTGTGTGTTTGTGTGTGTGTGTGTGTGTGTGTGAGAGAGAGAGAGAGAGAAAGATGGGGAAGATGTTCTGAATTTTAGAGCTTTCTCAGGCTAAGGGGCAGGCCAAAGTTCAGGGGCATGAAGGAGAAAGGGCTGAATAAAGTTTTGATAAGATGAAGCAGAAGATAAGAATAGCAATTTTGAAAACTTAGTTAAATCACAAATTAATATTTGGATTCAATGCTGTTAATAAAATTTCTTTGCCATCAATTTTCAGTATGTGGATGTTTATATATGCCAAATTCAATTGATTTTAAGGAAGACAAATTAGCAAAATTTTTAAAGGAATATAAATCATTCTATCATAAAGACACATGCATGTCTATGTTCATTGCAGCATCATTCATAATATCAAAGACATGGAATCAAATGTCCATCAATGATAGATTGGATAAAGAACATGTGGCATGTATACACCATGGAATACTATGCAGCCATAAAAAGGAAGTTAGTAAATCTTAAGATACATATACTATGTTTATGGAAAGAAAAGGTTAATGACAGGCCTACAATCCATTCACTCTCTTTACAAAAGGGGTATACAAGTCGGAGTGAAAGGACAGTGACCTGATTGAATCACCTTGTAAACTTACCAAAGGTAGACCTAAAATGTAATAATAGTATTTGTTAGCAAAAATTATTTTGATTCTTGGTATCTTTGAATTTATCATCATCAAACCTAGAATCTGTGGGTAATTAATGGTTCTTGGAAAATATGCAAATGATGTAGCTATTGGAGTAAAAAGTATAAATATTTCATAAATGGTTCCCTTCCATGTAAATACTTGTACTGTGATACATTAGATACCTCATGTGACAAATCCTGGATAGTGTGCATTCTGAATAGAAAGTGCAGAAAATCAGCTAGCTTGCCTCTTGCAATTATGTGTACTTTCAAGATTAATTGTAAAGTTTAATAGTGTGTAGGTCTGCTAGTTTCCATACATCTCATTGGAAAACACACTTCTGTATGTTATTTTAGCTTAATTAATGTTTTCATTGCATAAAATTTTTGACTATTCAAATTAAATAGTTGAAACAAGAAATGTTATTCACTATCATGTCTTTGTTTCTCTGAAAAATATGATTCAAAGTGAAGGGCAGCTAAAAATATTTTGAATATTTTGCTTAGAAGCACTGATGAATACATGCTAATGAAACAACTACATTACCATGGACATTCAGAGAGGTAGCAAAAAAGAAAAGTAAAGATAAATACAAATATGGATTAATGAATATGATCTCTTTGTTAAGAAGCAGAAATCACACTGTGAAGTATTAAAAAGTATGCTCTGGGCCAGGTGTGGTAGCTCACGCCTGTAATCCCAGCACTTTGGAAGGCCAAGCCAGGTGGATCACTTAAGCTCAGGAGTTTGAGACCAACCCAAGAAACATGGTGAAACCCTGTCTCTACAAAAAATAGAAAAATTAGGCGCGGTGGCACGCTTCTGTAGTCCGAACTACTCGGTGGGACTGAGTCAGGAGGACCGCTTGATCGGAGATAGTGATTGCAGTGAACCGAGATCACACCACTGCACTCCACCCTGGATGACAGAGTGAGACCCTGTCTTAAAAAAAAAAAAAAAAGTATGCCGAGAATGCAAACGAGGTAGGAGTTGGGTTATTCTCAGCTTCTTGAGGCCACTTATGTTTCTTGGCTCCTGCCCATCTTTCTTCCATCTTAAAAGCCAGTGGTGGTAGGTTGAATCCTTCTCATGATTTGAAATTCTCTGATCTCCCCTCCTCTACTTACATCAGGGAAAAGTGTTCCTGCAGGTAGATTGGGACTACCTGGATAACTCCATGTCAAGGTCCATGACCTTATTCACATATGGAGTATTCGTTTTGCCATGTAAAGCAATATCTCCGTGGATTCCAAGGATTAGGGTATGAATTTCTTTGGGGGACCGTTTTCTATCCTCCACAGTTTTCTAGAAAATTAATCATTTGGACTTTCTGTATTACAAGTTTTACAGATGTGAAATGATAATGATATTAATGTTTTATCCATAAAATGTATTGGTGAGAGATAAAATGAGTTACCTGCACGTAATAGTCATAACAAAGTATGGCATATAGAAATAATACCTGAAGATTCACTATTACTTTTAATATAAAGTCCAAATATTAAACTATCACGTTTTGTGCTTTTGTGAAAAAAATCATGTGATGAATAGCATGTAATCAATGCTACTATTAATAATTTCTAATTTATGTAAAAAGGCTTTGTTATAGGCAGTTAGAATAAAAACAGTAGGATGGACGAACAAACAAATGATAGATGATAAATAGGTACATAGATATTAGATGGATAAACTCAAGTAACCAAAATTACCTAAACATGCTTACAAGAAATATTCCAAGACTTTAACATTGTCTTCTACTTGAAAAATTGATTTAATGTGATTTTCTTTTTCTTTACACAGTGTAATTATATCATTCTAGAATATATTGCTTTTATAATTAAAAAGAGAATTGAAATGAATTGCCTACAATAGACATTTTCTCTCTTCTTTTACTTATATAAGATAAAATAAAAGATCTAATCTATTCCCACTGTGGATAATGATTTCTGATCATCTCTTTTCATTATATGGTGTCAGTGAATCACCACCATTTGATCTTAACTACTGAAGCCTCAGTAGGCATCATTCTTTTATTACACTTAGGTTACTTCTTAGCTGTTTTCATTCAGCAGAGCAATAGAAAGCAGATAGATATTCTTCAGTATAGTTATTTCTGTAAATTCATAATGTTTTCCTTTTTCCTGATTCTCTCATTTTTCCTTGGGCCTATGAGTTTTACCCTCCTTGTAAGTGTACGAAAGAGAAGAATAAATCAGTAAACACCAGCAAGTTTGGATTTTCTGCATACATTTGTAAACAAATCAATTGATTCCCTGAAAATGGAAATTAGTTGATTTCATCTTTATTTTACTCTTTAAATATATGAAATAGTTTACATATATGACAAATGTTCAGAAGATATCTAGTTACACCTTGCCATCATCATCAAACCTAGAATCTGTGGGTAATTAATGGTTCTTGGAAAATATCCAATATTATAATCATTTCTCTGATATTTAGGTCAATACAAAATCAATGAACCAAACTACAAACAAGCTTTCTTATTCTCTGATTTGATAACATACCCAGCACCTGTCCTTCTATACTATTAATAAACCAAAATTGGTGATAACATCTCCTTAATTAATAAATGCAATTTTAGTTATGCATACTATTGTTTACAACAGTTTTCCACTATTTATAACAGTTTTTCACATATTTATGACATTTTCCAATGCTATAAATAATTGTATATAAATGTTTTCAGAAAAACAAAACCCTGTTATTATACTGTGTTTGAAAATCAGCTGTTCTCAGGGTCACATATTTTATTTATCTGTCATAACAGTGGATCATAAATGTGATAAGTATATAGAAATGTGTGGTTGCTATTTTTGATGGTGATAGTAGAGGAAAAATTGCTATTCTTAAGCAACAAAGAGTTTTTCTTAAACATCAGTTGTGCTCAGTGATGTCATTTATATAGTATATACATAAAATTTTTTGTCATTGAAATATCTTCAAGGAAAATCTCTTGTTGTTACCACTGTAAAATATACAAGATTCTAAACATTTTTATATCACTAAATTAATAATTTTCTTACTATACTTTATAATGTGTTTTTAAAATGAATTTAGCATGATATAGTAGAAAAAAAATTCCACTCAGTTTTGTCCATCTGTATATTTTACTATTTCTTGTCTATCTTTTGAGAAACCTGTTCAGTTTTAGAACATTAAACAATCTTCCACAACTGGGTTAACATTGTAACTGGAGTGACATTATAAGTTTTCAAGGATTCCTGGAAACTAGACACTTGCCAGAACCCTAACATATGACCAGTCCACTGATTCTGCCGCTGTCGTCTGCACATCCAGTTGTCTGTCTTTCTATTATATGTCCATTAACCTATAGTAAATTACTCAGCCCTTTGCCATCACAATCCTGAGAAGATACTCGTATCTGAAACCTAAACCATTTAATCTTATTAAAACCACCACAGTCCCAGATCCTATTTTTTAAAATCCACATTAGTTATGTATAACATGGTGGATGAAGAAAGTGACAGCGTGAATGTAACAAAATCTTATAATATATATCATTCAATAAGATGTTTATTTGAGAAGGCTATTTGTCTATAGCTATAATTGAAATATTTTATATTTTTTCATGGTGTTTAATATGTCAAATACATCACAGGATGATTATAGTTACAAAAACTATAGCATCTGAAGGATTTGATTCTAATATTTCTGAAGTGGCTTATGTATAGGTAGGAGTACATGAGATGATTGTTCTCTGCTTTTTATGATACGAACATTTAAACAAAAGCAACAACAAAAACAACAAAAATCAGACAACAGAAAGCCAAAATAAATGTATGGGCCTATAAAATTTACTCACCTCAAATCTTCACTATAAAAAAAATCATGGGCCGGACGTGGTGGCTCACGCCTGTAATCCCAGCACTTTGGGAGGCCAAGGCAGGCGGATCACGAGGTCAGGAGATCGAGCCCATCCTGGCTAACACGGTGAAACCCCATCTCTACTAAAAAATACAAAAAATTAGCCAGATCTGGTGGTGAGTGCCTGTGGTCCCAGCTACTCGGGAGGCTGAGGCAGGAGAATGGCATGAACCTGGGAGGCGGAGGTTGCAGTGAGCCGAGATCGCGCCACTGCACTCCAGCCTGGGTGACAGAGCGAGACTCCATCTCAAAAACAAACAAACAAAAAAACATTGAAACATATTAATGAGAAAAAGATGATTTAGTCAATAGTAGGTACATTTCATGTATTTTTAGAAATACTAAAATTAAATATTCTAAATTAAAATATTTCCAAAAATTTCCTTGGATATTCATTTTCTCTGATAGGACCTAAAAGAAATAATTTTAATTAATGGAGTTTGCTAATTGATATTTTTATAAAAAATAAATTGTATGTTTTTACAAGAAAAATCTATGAAGCAAATAGATAAAATATATTCAAGTTATATTTACATGTTTATATATCAAAGCCATACTTATTCTGTCTATCTTTTTCATCTCTATAAAAGTAAGAACCTATTTATTCATCAAATAGTACTATTATAAGCTTTAGAAATACAGTGAATAAAACATATTCATTTCCTCAATAAAGATAATTTTTATAAGAACATAGGAAGATACACAAACAAGTATTTAAGCATCATGAACCTGTAGGGTAAGATTTAACCTGTTACGAGGGAGAGAGGCCTATGAAGAGCTTTCAAACACAGAAATTAACAAGTAGACAAGGGGAAGGCACAGAAGAAAGGACATCTGTTATTTGAAATGACAGAAGGTAGAATTTGAGGACAGAATCAAAACATGAATTCATTTGAACAGAGAATACAGAGCTGATTATAAAGGACTTTATATGTCTTAAGTTTAAGTTAAGAAGCTTTTAGATTTTTCTTCCAGCATTGGAAATCTATCATTCAAAGGATAACATTGTAACAAATAAAGGATTGCAATTGCTAGTAGCAGTTTAGTAGTATGGGGGACAATATTGACTACTAGAAAACAGGTTGATAATATTTGTATACAATTTGGGGAGCAGAAGATTATCATGGGGTTGGTAGTTTCTTTGAGGAGGGGAAAGGAATGTGAAGAAGTTTAGGGTGATGCTTATGTAATTGACTTGGAAAGAAACTAAAGTAGTAATAGCATTCTGTAAGTTTGGAAAGAGAAGAGAAGGAAGAGATTTAGGTGACATATACAATATTTGGGTATGAATACAGTCATTAGCAGCCTGTAGGACATCCACAAAGAACTGTCTAATAGGAAGTTTAATGGGTCATAAATTCCAGAAAAAAAATCAAGAATGGAATATTAGTTTGAAAGTCAATCAGAATATAGTGTGTTAACAAAGATAAAGCTATGAATGAGATGAACCTGTTTAGATTAATGAAAGATTACATTCGAGGGCAAATTAAGAGAAATTTCAAGAGACTAGGAAGTAGTGTTCAAAAATTGAGAGGCAGAAGCACATGCGGCCAGTGGAACCTGGGATTGGTAGCTGCTGCTGAGGTGGCTATGTCGGCAGTCCAACACCGACTGCCCACAGCAGCTCTTCAAGGGTTCCCCAGAGAGGTACAAGAAGAGGCATTGGAAGTGTGGTGGTGGAAAACAGCCTCCCACAGTGACTAAAGAATCTGGAATGACTGCAAGAACAAATCAGGAATCCTGAGAGGACCCACAGACCCTCTGAAAGAAGCAGACTGCTCCTGCAGCACCCGGAAGACACCCCAAATCCTCACAGCAGCAAGACCTGCCCAAGGAAAGTCTGAGCTCAGACATGCCTAGCCCTGCCCCCACCTGATGGTCCTTCCCTACCTCCCCTGGTAACTGAAGACAAAGGGCATGCACTCTTGGGAGTTCTAGGGTCCTGCCAACCACCAGTTCCTCTTCATACTACCCCAGTTGATGTTCTCTGGAAAGTGCCACCTCCTAGCAGGAGGCCAACCGGCACAAAAATAGAACATTAAGCCACCAAAGCTAAGAACCCTCATAGAGTTCATTTTGCTCCCCTGCCATCTCCACCAGAACAAGTGCTGGTATCCTGAGAGCTGAGAGACCCATAGATGGTTCACATCACAGGACTCTGTGCAGATAACCCCCAGTACCTTGTAGACTTGCTGGGTGGCTGGACCCAGAAGAGAGATAACAATCACTGCAGTTAAGATCTCAGGAAGCCACATACATAGGAAAAGGGGGAGAGTACTACTTCAAGGGAACACCCGTGGGACAAAAGAATCTGAACAATAGCCTTGAGCCCTAGACCTTCCCTCTAACAGAGCCTACTCAAATGAGAAGGAACCAGAAAATCAACTCTAGTAAAATGACAAAACAAGACTCTTTAACACCCCCAAAAATATCACTCTAGCTCACCAGCAATGGATCCAAACCAAGAAGAAATCCCTGATTTACCTGAAAAAGAATTCAGGAAGTTAGTTATTAATCTAATCAGGGAGATACCAGAGAAAGGCAAAGCCCAATACAAGGAAATCTAAAAAACAATACAAGAAGTGAAGGGAGAAATATTCAAGGAAATAGATAACATAAAGAAAAAAAAACAATCAAAACTTCAGGAAACATTGGCATTTATAGAAATGCAAGATGCTCTGGAAAGTCTCAGCAATCGAATTGATCAAGTAGAAGAAAGAAATTCAGAGTTCAAAGACAAGGTCTTCGAATTAACCCAATCCAACAAACACAAAGAAAAAGAATAAGAAAACATGAATAAAACCTCCAAGAAGTCTGGGATTATGTTAAACCACCAAATCTAAGAATAATTGGTGTTCCTGTAAAAGAAGAGAAATCTAAAAGTTTGGAAAACGTATTTAGGGGAATAATTGAGGAAAGCTTCCCCCACCTTGCTAGAGACCTAGACATCCAAATACAAGAAACACAACATCTGCGAAATTTATCACGAAAAGACCATTGCCTAGGCACGTTGTCATCAGGCTATCTAAAGTTAAGATGAAGAAAAGAATCTTAAGAGCGTGAGACAAAAGCACCAGGTAACCTATAAAGGAAAACCTATCAGATTAATAGCAGTTTTCTCAGTAGAAACCCTAGAAGCTAAAGGGATTGGGGCCCTGTCTTCAGCCTCCTCAAATGAAACAATTATCAGCCAATAATTTTGCATACAGTGAAACTAAACATTATATATGAAGGAAAAATACAGTATTTTTCAGTTAAACAAATGCTGAGAGAATTCGCCACTACCAACCCACGACTACAAGAACTGCTAAAAGAAGCTGTAAATCTTAAAACAAATCCTGGAAATACATCAAAACAGAGCCTCTTTAAAACATAAATTTCACAGGACCTTTTATAGGTCCTGTATAATAAAATGTATACATTTATACAATTTATATTTTATAAATACAATATAATATTTTGTATTATATTGTATAAATACAATATAGAAAGCAGAAACAACAAAACAAAACAAACAAACAAAAACAAGGTACACAGGCAACAAATAGCAAGATTAATTCTGTGCTACCTCACATCGCAATACTAACATTGAATGTAAATGGCCTAAATACTCCACTTAAAAGATACAGAATTCCAGAATGGATAAGAACTCTGCAACCATCTGCTACCTTCAGGGGACTCACCTAACACATAAGGACTAACATAAACTTAAAAGTAAAGGGATGGAAAAAGGCATTTCATGCAAATGGACACCAAAAGTGAGCAGGGATAGCTATTCTTATATCAGAGAAAACAAACTTTAAAGCAACAGCAGTTAAAAAAGACAAAGAGGTACATTATATAATGGTAAAAGTCTGACAGGAAAATATCATAATCTTAAACATATATGCACCTAACACAGTGGCTCCCAAATTTATAAAATAATTACTAATAGACCTAAGAAATGAGATAAACAGGAACACAGTAATAGTGGGGGACTTCATTACTCCACTGACAGCACAAGACAGGTTATCAAGACAGAAAGTCAACAAAGAAACAATGGATTTATACTATACCTTGGAACAAATGGACTTTACATGTATACACAGAACATTTCATCCAACAAACACTGAATTCACATTCTATTCAACAGTGCCTGGAACTTTCTACAAGATAGACTATATGATGGTAGGCCACAAAATGAGCTGTAATAAATTTAAGAGAATTGAAATTATATAAAGCACTCTTTCAGACCACAGTGGAATAAAACTGGAAATCAACTCCAAAAGGAACCTTCAAAACCCTGCAAATACATGGTTTTGCATGTATTTATGCAAATTAAATAACCTGCTCCTGAATGAGCATTGGGTCAAAAACGAAATCAAGATGGAAATTTAAAAATTCTTCAAACTGAACCACGATAATAGCACAACCTGTCAAAACCTCGGGGATACAGCAAAGATAGTGCTAGGAGGAAAGTTTATAGCCCTAAATATCTACATCAAAAAGACTGAAATACCACAAACAGACAATCTAAGGTCACACCTCAAGGAACTAGAGAAACAAGAGCAAACCAAACCTAAACCCAGCAGAAGAAATAACCAATATCAGAGCAGAACTAAATGAAATTGAAACAAACAAAAAATACAAAAGATAAATGAAACATAAAGCTGGTTCTCTGAAAAGATAAAGAAAAAAAGATAGACCATTAGCAAAATTAACGAAGAAAAGAAGAGAGAAAACCCAAATAACCTCATTAAGACATGAAACAGGAGATATTACCACTCACACCACTGAAATACAAAAGATCATTCAAAGCTACTATGAACACCTTTACACACATAAATTAGAAAACCTAGAAGACATGGATAAATTCCTGGAAAAATACAATCCTTCTAACTTAAAACAGGAAGAATTAGATACCCTGAACAGACCCATAACAAGCAGTAAGATTTAAATGGTAATTTAAAAATTACCAAAAAAAAAATGTCCAGGACCAGATGTATTTACAGAAGAATTCTATCAGACATTTAAAGAAGAATTGGTAGCAATACTTTTGACATTATTCCACAAGATAGAAAAAGAGGAAACCCTCCCTAAATCATTCTATGAAGCCAGTATCACCCTATTGCCAAAACCAGGAAAGGACCTAACCAAAATGAAAACTACAGACTGATATACCTGATGAACATAGATGCTAATACCTTTAACAAAATACTAGCTAACCGAATCCAACAACATATAAAAAAGATAATCAACAATGATCAAGTGGGTTTCATACCAGGGATGCACAGATGGTTTAACATATGCAAGTCAATAAATGTGATACAACACATAAACAGAATTAAAACCAAAAATCACATGATTATCTCAATAGATGCAGAAAAAGCATTCAACAAAATCCAGTATCCCTTTATGATTAAAACTCTCAGCAAAATCGGCATACACGGGACATACCTCAATGTAATAAAAGCCATCTATGACAAACCCACAGCCAACATAATACTGAATGGGGAAAAGTTGAAAGCATTCCCTCTGAGAACTGCAACAAGAAAAGGATGCCAGCTCTCACCACTCTTCAACATAGTACTGGAGGTCCTAGCCAGAGCAATCAGACAAGAGAAAGAAATAAAGGGCATCCAAATCAGTAAAGAGGAAGTCAAACTGTCACTGTTTGCTAACAATATAATCGTTTACCTAGAAAATCCTAAAGACTTCTCCAGAAAGCTCCTAGAACTGATAAAAGAAGTCAGCAAAGTTTCCGGATAATAGAGTAATGCACACAAATCCGTAGCTCTTCTATACACCAACAGCAACCAAGTGGGGAATCAAATTAAGAACTCAATCCTTTTTACAATAGGTGCAAAAAAAAAATACTTAGGAATATACCTAACCAAAGGGGCAAAAGACCTCTAAAGGAAAGCTACAAAACACTGCTGAAAGAAGTCATAGAAGGCATAAACAAATGAAAACACATTTTGTGCTCGTGGATGGGTAGAATCAATATGGTGAAAATGGCCATACTGCCAAAAGCAATCTACAAATTCAATGCAATCCCTATCAAAATACCAGCATCATTCTTCACAGAATTAGAAAAAACAATTCTAAAATTCATATGGAACCAAAAAAGAACCTGCATAGCCAAAGAAAGACTAAACAAAAAGAACAAATCTGGAGGCATCACAGTACCTGATTTCAAAATATAAGGCCATAGTCACCAGAACAGCGTGGTACTGGTATCAAAATAGTCACATAGACCAATGGAACAGAATAGAGAACCCAGAAATAAACCCAAATACTTACAGCCAACTGATCTTCGACAAAACAAACAAAAAAATAAAGTGGGGAAAGGACTACCTTTTCAACAAATTGTGCTGGGATAATGGGTTAGCCACATGTAGGAGAATGAAACTGGATCCTCTTCTCTCACCTTATACGAAAATTAACTCAAGATGGATTATGTATTTAAATCTAAGACATGAAACTATAAAAATTCTACAAGATAACATTGGAAAAACCCTTCTAGACATTGGCTCAGGCAAGGATTTCATGACCAAGAACCCATAAAGCAAATGCAATAAAAACAAAGATAAATAGCTCAGACTTAATTAAATTGAGGAGCTTTTGCATGGCAAAAATAACTGTCAGCAGAGTAAACAGACAACCCACATAGTCGGAAAAAATTTTCACAATCTATACATCTGACAAAGGACTGATATCCAGAATCTACAATGATCAAGCGAATCAGTAAGAAAAAAACCCAACAATTCCATCAAAAAGTGGGCTAAGGACATGAATAGACCATTCTCAAAAGTATATATACAAATGGCCAACAAACACATGAAACAATGCTCAACATCACTAATGATCATGGAAATACAAATCAAAACCACAATGCAATACCACCTTACTCCTGCAAGAATGGCCATAATGAAAAAATCAAAAAACAGTAGATATTGGTGTGGATATGGTGATCAAGGAACACTTCTACACTGTTGGTGGGAATGTAAACTAGTACAGTCGCTGTGGAAAACAGTGTGGAGATTCCTTAAACAACTAAAAGTAGAGCTACCATTTGATCCAGCAATCTCACTACTGAGTATCTACCCAGAGGAAAAGAAATCATTATACAAAAAAAGATACTTGCACACACATTTTTACAGCAGCACAATTCACAATTGCGAAACCTTGAAGCCAACCCAAATGTCCATCAATCAACAAGTGGATAAAGAAACTGTGGTATATTTATACGATGGAATACTACTCAGCCATAAAAAGGAATGAATTAACAACATTCCCAGAGACCTGGATGAGGTTCTAAGTGAAGTAACTCAGGAATGGAAAATCAAATATCGTATTTTCTCACTGATATATGGGAGCTAAGCTACGAAGATGCAAAGGCATAACAATGACACAATGGACTTTGGGGAGTTGGGGGAAGGATGGGAGGGAGGCAAGGGTTAAAGACTACAAATAAGTTGAAGTATATACTGTTCAGGTTATGGGTGCACCACAATCTCACAAATCACCACCAAAGAACTTACTCATGTAACCAAACATCACCTGTACCCCAATAACCTTTGAAAAAATTAAAGAAGAATTTGTATATGAAAAAAAAAAACAAATATTGAGAGCCAAACCAAGTTCAAAAACAAACAGTAAATGTCCGATAGTGTCACTGGAGTTTAAATAACCTGGTAACAGATAAATGTTTATTGGATTTAGTCAAAAGAAAGGAAACCGTCATGTTGGTCATAAAAATTTTCTTGGAAAGTATAAGGTTTACAGAAGTTTGCGGAAACAAATAATTATGGATATCAAAAATTAAAAGTTAAATCTTTCAGAAAGTTTTCTATGAATGTAAGAAAGAGGCAATGTAGTACAGCAGATGGTCAGGTAATCAAGTAAATTCTTCTGTGTTAGTGGGAGAAAATTAAGTTCATATAAATGAAAGAAGCTAGTGAATAAATTTTAAAAATAAATGAAATGGAATAATCAATTAATCATCGATCCAGAAAATGAAAGAGTATGAAGTATAAATGGAATGAGTAGCTATAAGAACTAGGAAAATTTTCTATTTTGTTTTATTTTATCCATTATATCTCTTATTCCACAAGAAGAGATGTGGAAAGGATGAATTCAGGCCCTAAATTTTTAGGATTCATATCAAGATGTTAAGTCATTTTCCATCTGGTTGTGTCTATGTGCTGTATGTAAGGAGGTGAAATCTTTTCAAAATGAAGGTAACTTGGTATGCATAGGATTTAGATGATTTGAACAGTTTGAATAGCCACTTGTAAGACAGAGAGAGATGATATAGGAAAACAGAAGAATGGCTGCATTGAGAATACAATGGGCATTAAAGCAATGTATGTCGACATTTGAAGTAATTTCGATTTTTCTAATAATGTCTAGCAAACTGAGTGCATGCACAGAGAAGTCCAAGGAGGGGTTAATTCTTGATTGGGTTGTAGTGGTTGGGTGTGATTAAAGCTTATTCTTAAACATACTTTTTTTGCACATATTAAAAGACACTAGCTCTATTTGCTGTACTCAGTCCAGTTCTAAGGAGATAGTGTCACATTTTCACTTATTGAGTGAGGGTCTCTCTGGACACGACTCAGTAAAATTTTTCTTAGCTTCAATGCTTTACTCAGAACAGTTGATCTATAGCAGAATAGCTTTTAAGGTTGTCTGGAGAAAAAAAAAATGTCTAAACAGGCTGAGATAATTAGCTGTGCCTGTCATATTCTCTGAACTCTGAAAGTCTGAATTGGTGATATGACATAAAGAACAGGAGCGAGCCAAATATATAAAGAAAAAGCACAAAAATACTTACCCAAGAGAATATGAGCTATAGGTGAGGTAAAAATAAAGATAGTTTGAAATAGAATCAAGTAATGATGAGTAATCAATAAAACACTGCTCCTGGGGTCCCAAAAGGATGACTTTCTTCCTAAAGCCACTTTAGATCATTAACAATATATGAAATCAACTAATGTAAGATGTATTCTCTTGGTGAGGCCTGGTTGTATACTCTGAATTCTGGCTAGGTGGCTGAGATTTCTGTTTGCTTTATGTCTGGGTCTTTATTACAAAATTCCATTACTAAGACAATCTGAATGAGCCCCTATTATATTTCATTTTATTTTATTGTGGAGACAAATTCTCACTGTGTTGCCCAAGCTAGTCTTGAATCCCTAGGCTCAAGGGATCCTTCCACGTCAGCCTCCCAAAGTGCTGGGATTACAGCACATGAACCACTGTGCTAGGCCATGCCTCTATTTTTAAAAAAAAAATAGTTTTTTCTTCCATTTCTCCTTTCCTCTTCAATTATTTGAATTTAAATAGCCATTAAGGTGCTTCCTATTTTCACTGGGTGGGAATTGGGGTGTGGATTATGAACAATGTTCATATTACTAGAAGAAAAGCTGGACAAGCAGAAAGTTTATGACTTTTATTGCTCCTATCAGAATATTGAAGCCATAGGTCAACTGACTGGTCAAAAAGTCAATGAGAGACAATCATCTGCAAGAAATGACTATACATGAGGACTGGATTTGTTGGGAAAATGTAATTAAAGATAAAATCTCTTAAACCAGAAAATCTCGCCACACAAGTAAAATAGAAGGAAAACAATTTTCTTATTGAATAAGCATTAGACTAGAATTAGTTATTAATCACAAGCAATCTGCCAAGAGGTTGCAAACACAGAAAAAATCTCAACTGTTTGTTAAATCAAGCAGATACAATCCATTATATATGTGTTCTCAAGACAAACAATAACTAATCCCCATGTAAGGGGACTTGACAGCACCATTTGTCAGATGTAGTCCATCCTAAATTCATTTTGCAGTTGAAGTGATGACCTGTGTTAGTTAATTAGCTTTACCGGAAAGAAAGAATAAACATTTCATATCTTTATGATGGCAGTGGTTTTGCAACTTGAGAGGGGCATGCTCTGAAGTTAGATTTTTCTCCTCCCACAGAAATTAGGGGAAAGGGACTTTATCTTCCTTGATAATTACATTTCAAAGAGATGGTTCTCAGGTCCTTGAGAAAGACATTCCTGTGTCATTAAGCTGTCAAGAGGCTTATTGAACTTTTAAAAAGATTTATACACATTTCAAAAAGACACAGAGATAACTTAAAATTACAAGTTTTCTAAGGTAAATGCTCTAGGAAAATTAGAGGGAGGGTCTTTTGCCTTATTTTCAAGCTTCCTATTTTTAAATTGTATTTGCCTTTACACTTTCCTGGGCAAGACACAGCTAAATTTAGCTAGAATGGTTTCTGAATTGGTGTAGGCCAAGAGTTTGCTGACAAGATTGGGTAAAGCCTCTAGGTTTCTCAGATATAGGGGGATTTTGTACCTCCTTGCAGGCTTTTTCTTTCCAAACCCCACTGGCCACTTATCACCTGGATGTGTTCTGAGAAAGTCTCCTTCATGGAACTGGCCATGGGGAGAGAAAAAGCAGGCACATCGGCAGGGGCACAAAACTCCCCTCAAATCCCCTCCCCTGTCGCTCTTGTAAAACTAAATTCTTAATCTGTGGAAGAATGGCAACAAGCATTGTTGGGTTTAGGACAATGCTGAAATTTATTGCAGATAGGGAAAAAAAAAATAAAGCATTAACTCTCTACCTCTGTGGAAGGAGCAAGAAAAGTACAGAGCTCAGAACATTAGCCAGGGGGAAAAATATTAAGAAGGCCATAATCCTGAGATCCAAGAACATGGTGCATGCTCAAGACTAAGGCTGAATGAGAATAACAGAGAATGCCCACCAATGCCATCTAAGAAGATTTCAAGTAATGTTCAGTGCTATAACCAGACCCTCTCAGAGTCTCAGCAAAATAGAAAGACCTAAAGCTGAGGGTAGAATATACAATGGAAAAGAAAACAACCTTCTGGTAAATCAGCCCCTATCATTAACACAAGAAATTACAACAGGAACTTAAACCTGGGGTGCACTGAGAATAACCATAACAATATCAAACTGCAAACCCAATCTAACTCCTAGTAAATTAACTCAGCCCCTGTCTTAAATCCAAGTGAAGAAAAGGCATACCTGTTTTAAGGCATAAAATATATTTATTGCGATCTCTATTGCCCTACACAAATGCTTGGCTTTCTATAAAGCATTCATACATATTAAAGGACAAACAAAAGGACACACTCCTAAGAGACAAAGAAATCATCAGAAGCAGACTCATGTTTGAAATAGATGTTGGAATTGTCAGACAGGTAATTTGAAATAACTATTATTTATATGTTAAAGTCTCTAATGGGAACGAAGGGGCATGTAGAAAATCAATTGGGTAATTTCAGGAGAGGTATGAAAACTATAATAAAAAATCAAATAGAAATGATAGAAATAAAAAATACTCAGTAACAGACAGGAAAAAATATATTCAAGGGGCTTATTAGTAGACTAGCACAGCTGAGCAAGAATTAGTGAGCATGGAGACAGGTCAATAGAATTTGACTGCATTGAAAACAAAGGGAAAATAGAGTGAAAAAAGATTAGAACATCCCAAACCAGTAGAATTCGTCTGGCTTAAGTGTAAATTTCATCTCAGAAGGAAAAGAAAGAAAAAAATATAGTTGAAGAAGTATTTGAATCAAACAATGACTTAAAATATTCCCAAATTACTGACAGTGGTCTTAAGAAGCTCAGAGAGCACTTAACAGAGCAAATGACAATTAAGCAATCAACCAGTCAATCAGATGCATGGATAGATTAAATCCATACCTAAGTTTATCACATCCAAACTGCTAAAAACCAAACACAGAGTATAAGATTACTATTAAATTCTTTTCTCTGTTCATTTTTTTTTGATTTTTAAAATTATACTTTCCTTTAGATCTGAAGGAAGCATTAGTGTTAAATACTGTGAAGAAATTTAGCTATGGGTGTTTTTTCTTGAGAATAATTGTGCTAAATTTGAATTTTGGAATTGCTTGCCTAATTATTTTTAACAGAGTTCCAAATAGTAGACTCCATATTTAGTTTTGAATGATGTAACGGTGTAAGTGGTTAGATAGCAGTGCAATAGGGGCACATACACAACTTTAGGAAAAATTATTACTAGGCTAGACCAATAGACAATTCTAAACTTAATTTTGGCTTCCTAGATGAGAATGATTTCTAGATTTGCATGTCTCTTCTCTATTCCACAAAGTAAACAGAGGAAACAATCTAGTGAGGATAAATATTCATGTGTTGTAATGAGGCCCAGAACTATTTTCCACTTAGATTAGACCATATGTATCTAAACTAGATTTGGTGGGATTAATTAATAATAATTGCTCTTTCTTGCTACTTTTTAATAATGCATGTCAGATCCTCCTTAGAAGCTAACTAGTATTCAAAATTATTTATAAAATGTTAGAAATTCAAATATAATCTATATTTCTTTTTGGAAGCCTTTATTAAAATGATCACATGAGAAAATTCTTAGGCTCTTGTTAACAAATAGGGAAGATTTCTATCTGATAAAAATTCCACTACTATAAATATCAGATACTTGAGCAATTATTTCAGGTGTGTGTACTATAATCATTAACTAATAGAACATAAGTATTTGTCACATTGTTACTGATGGAGAAATTGTTCACTTTGTAAGAGAAGAGAATCTAAATTAAAGATGTATTTTATGCTTACACAGCAACAATTGCTTATGTTTTATTGGAATTTAAAATTCAAGTAAGCAAAAGGAAATCACTGATTATCTACAGTCATGCATCTCTAAAGAACTAAAATTCATTCTGAGAAATACATTGCCTATGTGATACGTGGGAACATCATACAGTGTACTTACATAACCTAGATGGTATAGCCTACAACAAGCAGGGTGTTCAATCTTCTGGCTTCCATGGGCTACATTAGAAGAGAAGTTGGGCCACACGTAAAATACACTAACACGAACCATAGCTAATGAGCAAAAAAAAAAAAAAAAAAAAAGGTTTGTACAGAAATCTGATAGTGTTTTAAGAAAGATTACGAATTTACGAATTTGTGTTGGGCTGTATTCAAAGCTGTCCTGGGCTACGTGAAGCACGGGCCATGGGTTTGACAAGCTTGAATTGCTTATAGGGTACAAACCTGTACAGCATGTTACTGTACTAAATACTATAGGCAATTTGAACACAATGATAAGTATTTGTATATATAGACATATCTCAACATAGACAAAGCAGTAAAAATATGGTATTACAATCTCGTGGGATCACTATCATACATGTGGTCCATTGTTAGCCAAAACTTCTTTATGGGCCTCATGACTAATTATATGAGGATTCTTTAAAAAGTCATACTGAGGAAAAAAGAGTAGAATGAGGATTATCAGAGTCTAGTGGAGAGGTGGTAGGGCAGGGAAAGGAGAGACCAAAGTGTAGAAAGTTTCAGTTAGGCAGGAGGAATCAGTTCTGGTGATCTATTGCACAGCATGGTCACCATAGTTAATAATAATGTATCATATATTTTGCAAGAACCAAAAGAGGATTTTAACAGTTCTTACTACAAAGAAATGATAAGTATATGAGATGATGTATATATTAGTTAATTTGACTTGATCATTCTATGATATCCATAAGCAAGAAAATATCACATCATACTTCACAATGTATACAACTATTATTTCTCAACTAAAAATAAGTAGAGAAGCAGAGAAATGGCACTTTGAAAATAACTTGACTTGCCATTCATAGATTTGAAGATAAGAGAGTCAGGGAATACAGACATTCCCTAGAAGCTAAAAAAGTCAAGAAAATATGTTTTTCCTTGGAAACCCCAGAAAGAAATGCAGTTCTTCTAACACCTTGATTTTAGCCCAGTGAGAGTTGCATGTCTAAATTCTGATTTATAGATCTGTAAGATAATACTTGCGATTGCTTTAAGCTATCTAATTTGTGGTAATTTGTAACAGCAGTCATAGGAAACTAATACATCAGTCAATACCTACGAGTGGGATTGCTGGGTCATGTGATAAGTGTGTGTTTAATTTTATAAGAAAAACTGCCAAACTGTTAAAAATGAAATAAGTAATTCCTTTGTTATACAGGTGAAGAAACAGACTAAGAGAGAAAAGGTATATGGTCAGGTTGGTAGTCAACGAATAGTAATGGTAAGGCTGTGTGTGTGTGTGTGTGTGTGTGTGTGTGTATAACAAAACTATAATAAAAAAACAAACAATTTTTGAAGTTTATAGTTTATTAAGTTTGTAGTTTGTTTCTGTGTCTTGGGAATGTGAATTAAACTTTCTGTTCTTTGTTTTATTTGTATTTAGAAGTAAAACATAGGGTATTAGTAATATAGTGATGGAAATAAAAGCAGAGTGTGAAGTAGAAACAAAACCTGTATATTTTTAGCCTGATACATTCATGTGATACTGAAACTTGAAATATGCTACACAGTAAACCAAAATAATGAGTTCAAGTTTTTATTTTACTTTCAATGAGTAAACTTAGTATATTATTTAACAATGAGGTCAGTTAAGCTGTTTGTCTTTAAACTGCATGTTTATGTAAATTAGATAAACAGAAAAACAGATAGTAAATTTCATCATTATAAAGGGCAGAAATCAGAATCACTTTTTGAAATGTTTATCACAATGTTATAGTACATAGCACTAAATATCTTTTGAAATAAAAATCATAATCCAAGCCAATATATTTTCATATATGAATTTGAATACAAGTTGCCTTGGATTTAAGTTCCATTCTCATAAACATGATGGCAGCAGCATTGTTAGAATTCAGGCACCAATGATCCAATCATGTTATTTGCTCGACTCCACTCAGTTGCGATAAGTTGTGTTATCAGTGCCATTCTTGAGACTCTGTTTTCCCTTTCAGTGTATCGTCTTGTAAAAATTGAGAGACTTCTATGGAAGATAAACATGACCGAGTACTGGAGCATTTTGTTTATGTTAGTTTACCTGCTTTGCCTTTGATTTCTTTTGGTCTTGATAAATCCTTTATTTAAAAATTCTTAAACTATTATTTTGAAACTGTTTGATAACATAGACTTTTTGAAGTTATTTTCCTTAAACATCAAGTAATGTTTATATAATGCACTTAGATAAACTAACAATACTTAAGAAATCTTTCTCATTACTACCTTATAATTTATAATTACTAACCCAAGGCTAGTTATGTTTTAAAATACACAGTGGCCAATCTTTTGCAAAAAACAAATTCTACCATAATGCACCAGAGTATTACAAATAATTATTTTTCTCACTTTTTTATAGTATTAAATAAAGTGAAACTAATATTTACTATTGACTATAAGAAAATAATATATATTTAAGCTATGTAATATGTTGTCTTTTATGTACCTTCATAAGTTGTACTTTTCTGACAAGAATAACACATGCTTATTATAAAATATTTGAAAATTATATAAGCCTGCAAGTTTTAATTAATTTTTCAACCAGAAATTTAAATTATGGGAAAAATGCAAAATATCCACATATCAATATCTAGAAATGGTTAATATTTTTTATATTTCTTCCCAAAAATATGTGTGCATTCATGTAATTGCACATGCATATTAATAATATACATATGTATATACAAATGTATTTTGGAATATAAATATATTTGACATCAAATAGTATATATGTTGTTTACCTATAATTACCTATAATTATATTGTGTGTGTAATTACTCTTAGAAACATAATTTTAATGATATACTATTCTATCATATAAATAATATTTTGACTTTTTTTCTATTTTGTTCATTTCAAAATCTTTTTCCTATTGGGAAAATAATGTTTATAAAATTTATAAAATAGCATTATACATTAAGAACATTAACATATATCAGATTATTTACATGTAACTCATTTGTATCTTGATTGTGTTAAGATATTTTATATCCTGAAAACATTTAATGTTTTCATGTATTTAATATCCAATATTTAGACTGCTACTTTCTATTATTTCAAATATTTCTTATTGCTATATCAGCAGCTCTCATTCTTTTGAACAGTTCAGTTTGAGGGAGTTCTTCTCATACCATCCTGTAGAAGGAATGGTGTGCCTTCCCCTGCAGAGATAGGAACTGTAGTCTTTTCTGTTCAGAACTACTGGAACTACTTTACGCTTTGCCACAGCACTCAGAGGCTCTAGCTACTTTGTGCATCAGGATTTAAACAAAACGCATGCATGTTTCTTCAACCCTGGAGTGCTTAGTTACATAAAAACTATCTTAGCAAACTTCTTTGCTGGCATCCATGGGATGAAACTCCTGCTTTACCAAGAATTGTTTAAAATCTTGGATTATACAAGAAATCTCCTCTTCCATGATAAAAGTGCAAGATGCACTCCAGAAGCTACCATATTTTACTATATGCTTTATTACATTTTCTTATTAAGTTATCAGTTCTCAAATCCTACTCATCACTTTTCTTCCCAAGGGAGGAGACCACAGAGAGGCAATCTGTGTAGTGGAAAAAGGATTGAATAGGGAGTTATTTGTTTGAAATAATTACTACTGTTTACTTTAATTATCACAGTAACTATGGAGTTACTGTGATATGGATGTTACTGTGATAACATAGGTATGGAGATACCTATGCTAATCTCAGGAGGAAATTATCACTTATAACTCCTATGCAATTGTTGATAGATGATCTCTCTCATGGTCATTTTTTGACATAAGCCTATATTTGTCTAACAGTAAACTAAATGTACTTTTTGTTTTAAGACATTTGGCTGCTTCTTAATAAAAAAATGGTATTTGCATTTTTTGGATTTGGAAATCCTGGTGGCAAGTCCTGGCACTTTTTTATGTGTAAGGTGACTTATTCCAAGTTATTTAACTTCTGTAAGGCAAAAAATCTTTGGCTGTAATAGGTTCCTTAGAATGATTATTTTTAAGATATTGAACAAAATTGCTGGGAGGCTCCAATTTAATATTATAGAAGTTTGTAAACAATAAAGTGCTATACAAAAATAACATATTGCTAATGCATGTGGCCCTGGCTTAAACTATCTATACAACATTTAACAGGTTTTATCTCATCACATTCTCATTTTTCTGTTGGAAAAAAAAGTCATGCTTAGACTGAAATATCTAAGATTCTGTCTAATGCTGTACCTTGAAATATTGCCATTCATTCCAACAGTAACCAAATGAACACATGCTTACTGTGCTTAACACTTGTCTGTCATGTGAGAACCATCTTGACTTATATGCATAAATTAAGCTTCTGCTTTGAGTGAATCTGTAAATTAATGTTTGGGTTAAATTATTTTTAGGCTTTCGTTTAGCATTATTGTGTCCACAGTTGGTTCCTGCTGGTGGGTTGGTGGTCTCACTGACTTCAAGAATGGAACCACGGACCTTCGAGTTTTACAGCTCTTAAAGATGGCACGGACCCAAAAAGTGAACAGTAGCAAGGTTTATTGTGAAGAGTGAAAGGACAAAGCTTCCACATCGTGGAAGGGGACCCGAGCAGGTTGCCGCTGCTGGCAGGGGGTGGCCAGCTTTTATTCCCTAATTGGCCCCTTCCATGTTCTGATTCTGTCCTATCAGAGTGCCCTTTTTTCACTCCTCCCCGCAATTGGCTACTTTTAGAATCCTGCGAATTGGTGCGTTTTACAGAGAGCTGATTGGTGCACTTTACAATCCTCTTGTAAGACAGAAAAGTTCCTGATTGGTGCATTTTACAATCCTCTTGTAAGACAGAAAAGTCCCCCAAGTCCACACTCCACCCAGAAAGTCCAGCTGGCCTCACTTCTCATTATCATGTTGGATGTTCTAGAAGAATACATTTGCATAGCTATGATATAATATTTAACACTTTACACAACTAATATTTTTATATATGATAAAATAGAATTTTATTCAACAAGCATGGACACTTGTAAGATTTATATGGATGTTACTGCTACATAGTTATTTGTCAGTTTGAATAGGCTATGATGGGTTTCTTCTCCTAAATATGTGACTGCTTGGCTGAAGCTTTTGAGTGCAGGGACCTTTGGGGAACATAGTAAATTAAGGAAGGGTATAAATGTTTTGGTAGACATTTTGATAAAATTAAATAGCTGACAATGGCAGAAAGTATCTTTCATATTCACTGGATATTCCAAGGCAAAATTTCACTTTCTTTATATTCTCATTCACTCATCTTTGTATATCTATAAAATAAAGATTTTACTGAGATACGATGTAATCTGCAATGCTTGGAAAGAGATGAATCAATATTCGTGTCTCTTTTGAAGTTATATTTTTAAATGTTGCATTTTAATTCAAGTTAGATCATATGCCATTTTGTAAAAAACATTCAAGTAAATTATAATTCACTTCTTTTACTTCCCAAATACCCTAGTTTTAAACATTCCAATTCAACTTATTTATATTAATGAACTTTCAAAATAATCCTGAGTGTGGGAAGAAAGGTTTAAAGATGACAGCATTAGAGTTCATGTGTTTTACCTACTCTATCAAACTGTTAATGGATCTCTCAGCTAAAAAAAGACCAAATCACTATGAAACATTGCTTTGAATCCTTATTTTCTTATATATTTATTTTTAGTTCATAAAAACTATATATGTTTAATGTGTACAACATGTCATTCTGGAATGTGTATACATTGTGGAATGGCTAAGTTAAGCTAATTAATTTATGCATTACCTCACATAATTATTTGTTGGTGGTAAGAACATCTAAAATGTACTAATTTAGTGGCTGTACTAATTTAAATTCCCACCAACACTGTAGGAGAGTTCCCTTCATATCTTTGCCTGCATTCGTTATTGCCTGTCTTTGATGAAAGCCATTTTAACTGGGGTGTGATAATATCTCAGAGTAGCTTTGATAATATCTCAGAGTAGCATTTTTCTGATGATTAGAGATATTGAAGTTTTTTTCATATCCCTGTTGGCCATTTGTGTGGTTTCTTTTGAGAAATGTTTATTCAAATCTTCTGCCCATTTTAAAATCTGATTATTTGGGGTATTTTTGCTATGGAGTTGTTTGAGCTCCTTGTATATTCTGGTTATAAATAAATCCCTTGTCAGACAAATAGTTTTCTTTTCTCCCACTTTAGGGGTTGTCTCTTAACTTTGTTGATTGTTTCCTTTGCTGTGCAGAAGCTTTTTAGCTTGATGTGATCTCACTTGTCCATTTTTGCTTTGGTTGCCTGGGCTATTGAGGTCTTACTCAAATCTTCCACATGATCCAGCAATCCCACCACTGGATATATATCCAAAAGAAAGGAAATAAGTATATCAAAGAGATATCTGCTCCACTGTGTATATTGCAGCACTATTCATTATAGCCAAGATATGGAATCAACCTAAGTGTCCGTAAATGGGATCAATGGTTAAAGAAATACATATACACAATGGAATATTATTCAACCATAGAGAGAATGAAATCCTGTCATTTTAAACAACATAGATGGAACTGGGGGACATTATGCTAAACAAAATAATCCAGGTACAGAAAGACAAATATTGCATGTGCTGACTTATATGTAGAAGCTGCAAAAAAAAAAAAAAACCTGATCTCCTGGAGATGGAGAGTAGGATGATTACTAGAGGCTGAGAAAGATAATGTCAAGGGAGGCATAAAGAGGGTTTGGTTAATGGGTACGTAAGTACAGTTAGATAGAAGGAATGAGATCCAGTGCTCTGTAGCACAATAAGGTGACTATAGTTAACAACAGTTTGTTGTGTATTTCAAAATAACTAGAAGAGTGAAATTGTCATGTTCTTAACACAAAGAAATGATAAATGCCTAAGGTAATAAATATCCCATTACCCTGATTTGATTATTACATATTATAAGCTTGTATCCAAATTTCACATATACCCCATAAATATATACAACTATTATATATCCATAAAAATTAAACACTGAAAGCATTTAATCACTCAGCAATTTTCAAGAATACAATAAATTATTAGCTATAATGATGATGTTGTACAATAGATCTCTTGAACTTATTCAATAGATACTATTACACATTAAATATTTCACTGCTGTTATGTGATTTCTAGTTTTAAATTTTTTTAGTAATATTTTTATTCTAATTCTAATTCTAAATAAAGGTATTTCTAATGTTCACCTTTATGTGAGTATATAAATGCATCTATTTTTATTTTAAAATTTTTTCTTTATCTTTTTTCCACAGTAATCTTTTACTATCTGGTGTGTTTCTTTTAAATGATATGCTTTGACTTTCCCTATTATCTATACCACCCAGTAATAGTCATTTTGTTGTTTCTATTTTTCTGTCCCTTCTCCCATGTATATAATTACAGATTTCCAATTTTCAGAACTAAAAGTATTTACAAATTATTCCTCTACTTACTGCTATCCTTGTTTCAGTCTTAATTCCATGACTAAATAAATTAAATTCTCACCGTCTGTCTTTTTGCCAGAAATTTCCCAGTCATGTTTTGGATGCATGAAACTCATACTGTAGCAGAGGTGTCAGCAAACTATACATCTTTTGTTGTTCTTGTTGTTGTTTTTGTACAGCCCCAAAACTAAGACTTTTTTTTTATTTTTAAAGAATTGTTTTTAAAACACGGAAGAAGAGGAAGAGGAGGAGAAGGCTGATGAAGAGGAGCAGAAGCTAGAAGAGGTGGAGGGAAGACAAAGGGGGAGGGGAAAGGCCCTTATATGGGCCACAAAGCCTACAACATTTATTATCTAACCCTTTACAGAAAAAGTTTGCTGACTGTACAGTATTCCCTGAGTTCTCGAGTATTTATAAAGTTGTTACAGTCTTGTTACTGAAGGCTAGTGGTGGTATAGTATGGTAAATGGTGATAAGTGATAAGAAAAATGAAAGCAAACCAGGAAAGGAGAGTATAAGAAGGGAGAGTACAGATTTTAGATGGTTAGGAAACCCTTACTGAAAATGTAAATTTTAAACTAAGATATGCATAAAGTGAGAAAATGGCCATTTGGAAATCTAAAAGGAGAGCATGTCAAGTCACTGGCACACAGGAGTAGAAGCTTTGAGGCGGGAGCATGGATGTTACTGTCAAAGACTAGTAGACACCAGTATTGCTGGAGCAAAGAGAGCCAGAGGTGAGTAGAAAAGGAAAATGTGAGAAAAGTCATGGGGAACCAGATCAAGTAGGAACAAATTCCTGTGAATAATTTTTATTTTGCTTCAAGTGAGACAGAAACCCATTAAGAAGAAGAGGGAAATAATCTGAGTTCTGGGTTTAGTAGGATCACTCGACTATGCTACTACGCTGATATTAAACTATAGGAGACAGGGCAAAAGCAAAGGGATAGACCAGAAAGCTAAGGCAATTATTCATTTGAGAAATATAGTACCTTAAATCTGAGTGGTGGCTACGAGAATGATGTAAAGTAGTCACATTCTGGGTATAAACAACCAAATTTGCTGAATAACTATAGTAAGAATGAGAAAAGAATAAAGTCAAAGACAACACCAAAATTAAATACTTGTGCATTTGGATGACTGGAGTTTTCAATAACTTAAAAGGAAAATAACATAGAATAAGATTCAGGGGAGGAGTATAAGGAGTTCAAGTTGGAGCTTGTTCAATTGAGTACCTACAATATACCCATATTCATATGTACATGTTTTCATACATGTTTATATACACATGACTATATGGGTCTGGAGTTTGGGGCAGAATTTCTGGTTGAAAAATATTAATTAAAGAGGTATCTGTACATTGACAACATTTAAATCCATGAAACTGGATGAGTTAACCTAGGCTGAGTGTCCAGAGAAGAGAAAAAAGTTTAATGTCAGAACTCTGAAACACTGTACCATTTCAAGGTCAGAAAACTGAGGAAGTTGTAGCTAAAGAAGCTGCAAAAAAGCAACCAGAAATATTGGAGTAAAACCAGGAGAGAAAAATTAGAAGGAAAATTAACAATCTAAAATCTCTGTAGGAAATTCTTGGTCAGGGTACTAGATTTGTTTTTCAAATGGCTGTTTTTTCATAGATAGAAAGGAAAGGCAGATGGAATAAGAAAAATTAATGTGTTTCTTTGGTAACAATTTTATTAAATTCCACCATAACTGCATATACTATTAATCTAAAATCTTTACTGCTTCAGGATTATGGAGTTTACATTTCTATTCTGGAGAATTTATTTTATATTGGTAATTTCCCTGCTTTCTCTTAGATTCATACTTAGCTTCCTTCAATCCGTATGGGTGGGACTGGGAGTCTACAAACATTTCTCCGATCCTTTTCTTGTGGTCTTGATATTAACTTCTGCCTCCCAGAGGTACTGGTCAAAAGTCAGAAGTCTGGGCAGTACAGAGATGTTGTCAGCTCCTGTTTTTTTCTGATATGGCAGCTGGAGTCACTCCAGACTCCAGTAATCCAGCCAGAATCGTTTCTTTTTTCAGTGGTTTTACTAACAGAAAGGGAGACTCCTTCCAGAAGTTCCCAAATCAATTTTAAGAGCAGGATGCTAAGTACAGGCTCATGAGCTTCATCCCACGGATATTAGAACTTCTGATCTTTGAATATTTACCCTATCTTAGTTTTTGCTCTGTGCTTCCAACAAATGTGTAACCTATGTATTATATTTCCTCAGGTACTGTATTCCCTCTGAAACTCAGGTCTTGGATATATTCTTGAATCTTAAGACATATAACTTTATCCTGTATTGTTATTTTCTATTAGTTTATTTTTCTTTCATTATTGTATCCAATATGGCAGAAAATACACTTGCTATATTCATATATGTACTATTAGCCCTTAGCACAGAGTTTGGCATATATTAAGTAAATAAGCAGTGAAAGGTAAATAAAGTAATTAAATGATGCAATATACAAATACTTGTTTTTTAAAAATGATGTATATTGGATGGTATTTTCACAAACACACAAGCACATGTGCACACTAATTTATTTTTGAGTAGGCTATAGACTTTTCCTTATATTGACCCAATAGAAAGGTGAGGTGTGTGTCCCACTTTCTTGAATCTGGGCAAGCCTGTGACTACATCAACCGATAGAATAGAATGGAATAGAAATAGCAGTGCATAATTTTGAATTTAGGTCATAAAAAAAAAGTCTTACAAGTTTCTCCTTGCTTCCTAGAATACTTGAGAGGTCTGAACCATTATGTAAGAAATCTGTCTAATCAGAGGCTGCCATACTGTTAGGAAGACTAAGTCACATGGTTAGCTGTTATGTAGACACACTCCCTTGGACAGCCTTGGCTGAATCCAGTTTTTGAGTCATTTCAGCTCACATATCAGACATGTGACAAAAGAATATTCTAGATGTTTGGGAATTGTTTGACTGTTAGTCATTTAATTAGGTCCTCAATTAGAACCTTATCAATTAGGTCCTCAAATACTGTCAGGTAGAAATAAGTTAACCCTCTGTTTATTTCTGAACTTCTGATTTATAGAATATAGAAGCATTGTAAATCTTTTTGTTTGCTTTTTAATGCCACTATTTTTTTATAGTGTTTGTTACATAGCAATGCATAACTGCATAACTGGAACAAAAGTTTTATCATTTTTGAAACAATGAATCACTTTTAAATGGCCAAAACCAGACAAGTATACACTATTAAAAAAGTGATATTTTAACCTTATACTTTTAGGTAGACAAGGATATTCTTGCAGATATTTTTCTAGAAACATTTAAAATTTCTCTTACTCTCATCCTTTTTTTTTCCATCTTTTGTAAAATCTTTTGTTAGATACTAGGGCCTTTAGGAACTAACTCTAGTTAGTTATGTATCTGTTTTGCTCTCCTGGTATTGCTCCTATTTTAGTGGTAATTCCTGCTCAGCTGCTTTGTCTGGTTCTTACTCATTTACCTAACATGAAAAAGCTAGAGTACCTCAAGGCTGAGTGCAGTTTCACTATGGGAAACCTGTAAGCCCCATAAATTGCAAAATGATAAAAAATATAGTAAGTAAAGAAGAATGAATCTTGTAAAGAATACCTCACTTGTGTCCATCTTTCATCAATCATCACACACTATGAAGTGTTCCTCTGTTGGCAAATACAAAAAAAAAATTTTTTTATGTGTAAACTATATATTTATTTAAAATGTTTTTATTATCAAGCATATATAATTTTTATATGTGAAAATTGTTTTGTTATTTGGTTTGTCATGAAATAAATATTTTCTCACCAATATTAGTGGAAAAATATAAACTTTTTATTTAGAATCAAAATTTTCAAGATGAATTAAAGTAAATAACTGAAGAATAAGTATACTGAAGGCCAAGTATGTGTAAATCATTAACTCCATGGATATTCATGAGAAGTCAAACGCTTGGGCCAAAATATGAAAGTGTTAATATACAAGCTGTATTTGGGCTCAGTGATTACATTAACATTTCACAATGGCCCTGTAATAATTCTGGACATAACATAATATTGCTGATATTGTCTGAATTTGTGAGAATTCTAAAAGTCAGAATAAAATATTTGAATTTTATTTTATAGCCAACTGAGTGGCATCATTAGGTTGGAACATAGCAAAGATATTTTTAAAAGCTTGCTATGCTGTCCAAATTCAGCAGGTATTGAGTATGAGTTAGACTTGACCATATTTTAATGTTTTTATTAAAACAAATTTCCATAAGGTGTTTCTTTTTTCCTACTTTTATACTATTTATTGATTTGGGGGGTTATTTATTTAAATATAACTTATCAATTGTTTTGTTAGTGATTTAGAAATAGGTTGTCTCTATTCTTTATCCTCGTGTTGTCTATAGTTTTAGACTGTAAATGAAATAGTAAATCTGAAACTTCAAAGGAAAAACTTTTTTCTCTTTCTTTTTCTCAAGTGTAATTAAATAGTTTTATTTCAGCAGGGGCTCAAGTTAAATGTTCTTCCACACAATTGACAAAGCAAGTATGGTGCCTACTTTTCATTCCTTCAAAGAGTCTGCTAAATTACCCTTAGCGTCTCTTTGTTTAACTACATTCCCATGTAGGCTATAGAGTTTATTTTCAAGGAACATTTGACAAGAAGTATTCTTCAATGTTTTGCTTGCCTGCTCTTTTAGTAGCATCAATCTTGAACTCCCACTGCCCTACAAATTGTATTTCTTCAGGCAAAGTGACTTTTTCAACTGATTCTCTTCTGTAGTGAAATAATTCAGGTAAGCAAAGACAGCATGTATAGCAACACACTAGGCAGTGATTAACCAACTCTAAAATTTGCGTATGTTTGAGAGAAATATTTGAGAGATAAGAACAAAAACATGTTTAGAAATATCTGGCAACTAAGATATGACATCTGAGGCTAAATTTCTAATTAAAATTTATTAAAGTTGATGACCACATCTTTATTTTGAAAAGAAGAGTGTATCTTAGTAACTTCACAAGTCACATCAGATATATCTTTTAAAATATTTATTATAATATTATATGGGTTATTATCTTAAAAATCAGTATTTTCAGAATCATACCCTCAAGTGGAGTGCTTAAAATGGTTGACAGTATAGCAAGAGATGAGAGAACAGAAGCCAGTCAGAAAATTTAATTCAAACATGTTTTACATTGCATATTTTATCTAAGGATCAAGAATGTAATTGTGTCAAAATCAAGACTCAAGTTGAGATTTTTTACTTGCTTATCTAGTGATTTTTTTGAGTGAAGAGTAGGAAATAGAATCCAATGTTTGGATTTTTACTTCTTTGCATGTTCCTTCATTCACCAAATAAAACTTTTTTTTTTTTTTTTTTTGAGACAGAGTCTCACTCTGTTGCCAGGCTGGAGTGCAGTGGCACGATCTCGGCTCACTGCGACCTCTGCCTCCTAGGTTCAAGCGATTCTCCTGCCTCAGCCTCCTGAGTAGCTGGGACTATAGGCGTGTGCCACGAGGCCCAGCTCATTTTTGTATTTTTAGTAGAGACGGGGTTTCACCATGTTGGCCAGATGGTCTTGATCTCTTGACCTCGTGATCTGCCCGTTGCAGCCTCCCAAAGTGCTGGGATTACAGGCGTGAGCCACCGTGCCCAGCCAAATCTTTCTTAAATTAAGTAACTTTATAGTATATGGAAAACATTACTACAGTTTAAAAACTGCTAATAACAATCTAATTAATGACAAATCATTGCCTATTGTCTAATAATACAAAATATGAAATATTTAACAGTAAAGTTGTTGAAATTAATGGTAACTAGCAAATTTTAGTGACTCAAGCAAACAAAACAAACGAATCTTAGTGACTCAAGCAAACACATATTTTTTTTCCTTGCTTAGAGCAAAAACTCATGCAGTCCAAGAAACACTTCTAGTTGACTCTTCCAACAGAGGTTGCAGGGCTCTGGCTCTTTCCATCATGTGATTTCCCTATATGGAAATTCTTTGCTTCCAACCAAAGTACGGAAGAATAAGAACACATTAGTGCTATACCTTCAGGGAATAAACATCATGATCACATTTAAATGCAAGCAGGTGAGGACATATAGTTTTATTGTATGTTCATAGAAAAGTATTGGCTTGAAATATGCACAATGATGGGGAAAACTGTATAGATTTATGCAATTCAAAATTAGTAATAAAACTATTTTGCAGAAATACTTTAAAAATGTAAGATATCTTTGAAGAATGGAACAGATATTTACTTGATAAGATATGGAAAGATCATTTTCTTGTTCAGAAAGAGAATTGATATGCCAAACAATTTATATTTGAGAGGAAAATATAGTTAAACGTGCATTAATAATATAAAGAGATTTGCTATGCAATAAAAATCAATGAAGTTCAAATTAGTGCATGGAAGTAATATAAAAATAATAGAAGCAGATAAAATATTTTGTCTGTGGATATTGTACTCTGAAGGGTCAGAAAAATCTGACTCACACTAATAAGTTTAAAGATTTATCTACCCTGAAGATACCCATTGTTTTCTCAGGAATGCTCTCCAAATGAGAATTTTTCTAATTAGAACACTTAACAGCCTGGAAAAGGAAGAGGGCAGGAAGATAAAGAAAACAGTAATCTAAGTTCCTCCTAAGACTAACTGTATAGGAGCTGAAAATTTAACTGATGAGAAAAGGAAATAAACATTTTGAACCAGCCTCTATAATCTGGATACACACTTAGGATCAGCCATGAGTAAAACTCTTCTAGTTTCAAAGGTGAAATCTTAGATTATTGAGTTGAAATTTTTTTTTCCAATATACAATATTTTAATGCTCTAAACTGCCCACAAAACACTGCTTTATTCTTTTATTCTTCTCCTTTTGGGACTCTAATATATGTGTGATAGATAATTTGATAATATTCCATAGCTTTGTAATATCCTGTTCTACTTTTTTCTGACCATTGTTTTTTCTCATTGTGTTTCACTTTGGGTAATTTTTATTGATCTTCAAGTTCACTTTTATGTGCTATGTCTAGTCAGCTAATAATACTGCTAAATAATTTTTCCTTATCATTTCCATTTGACTCCTATTTATAGTTTTTCCCTACTAAAATGTTCCATCTGTTCATGCATATTGTCTACCTTTTCCACTAGATATTTTTAACATATTAGTCATAAATATTTTAAAGATCTTTTCTGATGGTTCCATCATGAGGATCATCTGAGTCTTATTCTGTTGATTTACTACTAACTGATAAGGTTTTCTCTTTCTCTGTTTTGTGTGACATACACATAACACAAAATGGAAATGGCATGTCCACTTCCATGTATAAATATAATTTACCTATTCTCTGCTGTCAGAATGACAGACATTATTTTGTAGAGCTGTAGAGAATTGGTAAATTATATTTATACATGGAAATGGACATGCCATTCCTCTTGAAAACCATTATTGTGAAGTATTTGAGTTAATTTTGTCAGAAGTTGAACTGGGTTTGAATTATGTTGTTATCATTACTTCTGTGATCCTCAGTTTTCAAATTCCTCCATCACTTAGCTACTATTACTTTATGGCTATTGTAATGTCTGTGCTATGGTAGTTTTTCTTAGTGTCATTCAGTCTGTGACACCGGCACTGCACACACAGATTTTCTTCCTGTTTTTGACTACTACTGTAGCATATTTCTCAGTGTGCAGCTCAGTATTATGCTACGGAGCAGGAGGACTCAGTCCTTGAAGTTCAACTAGGCCCTTTGAGACTGGACTTCAACTATATTATTTCTCAGTGTTTCTACAATTCTCTATACCTCCATAGAAGCCAAATTATGCCTTGTATCTTTGGTTATTCTTGAGAAGCAAATTTCCTGCTACTCTCGAGTGGTAGCAGTTATAGCCTTTCCTTTGGGACAGAATCCTCAAGAATATTTTGTGTCTCTTTCACAGTGGCAGATGGCTTTTGCTTCTATTCCTTTCTCTGGAAATAATGTATCTTTTTCTCCACTCTAAGGATAAGATTTTTTATTCTCTTTTATTCCGATAGAATTTATTTATTTTTTCCTGCCCCGAACACAGTCTTTCTTGAAAGTACCTGATGGAGACCCATTGGAAAAAAACTTGCAACTGAATGGAAATTTCCCTTATGTCTGGGACTCCTATTTATTCAAAATTTACATGTTAGTCTATACTGAGCCCTTAATTTACTAAAATTGTATCATATTTATTCTTATATGCTCATATAGTGGCCACTACTTCCTCTTATTGTAATGCCCGAGGTTCTTGCCTAGCCACGCCAAAGAATTGATGTGGTGGCTGACCGCGGCGAGTGATAGAGACATGGACCAAGAGAGAGAAAAAGCTGTAGGCTTTATTGAGCAGAGTGAGAGTACAAAGCTTCCACAGCATGGAAGGGGTCCCGAATGGGTAGCCACTGCTGGTTTGGGTATTTGCCTTTTAAACTTTTTAAGGTGGGAGATATGTGAGGCAGGAAGCTTGTTATAGGAGCAAGAAACAAAGGCAGTAAATTATTTTGGGACATGTCTTAGATTTTGAGGAAAACCTGAATTGCAACTTAAGTTTTATCTACTTTATGACCTTGCAGCGGCATGGCAAAGGAGACAGGATCTTACAGGACTTTACAAAGTGTGTTTACAAGGAATTGGAATTGGGAGTATCGATAAGGTCCGCTGGTCACAGAAAAACGGGCAGTTAACGTTCCTTTTACTTTAGTTTTGTGGGAGGGGGAAGGGAGAGAGCGAGAGAAGGACACAGGGAAACTTACCGCAAAATTTTCCCTGTTTATAGCTTTCTTGGGGAAGAAAACACATGAACAAATCCTCGTGATAGGAATATTTTAAGCATATATCTTCAATATTACTCATCCAGGACCGAAGTAAGTCCTGATGCAGGAAATGAGTGAGTTTCACAGCTTTCTGAGCCCCTACTCGACCCAGGAAGCCCAGCTGGCACCTCCTCTCAGTATGCTATTGAAAAGTGAATTTGTAAGTCCTGTTTCTTTTCGAAGGTGCTTGTCACCCTTTAGAATTCATGTTTACCTTATAATCTGAGCTTTGCAAGTGACTCGAGACATTTTAATGTTTTAGTTCATCAGGCTTCTACTTGTTCGGGAAAAAAGTTCCCACATGACTTTCTACGCTATTTTCGTTAAATAAATGAAAAGCAAAGGTGATTGACTACTTTAATGGAAACAATACTTTTTTTGCACAACAAGATGAAGCAGTCATGAACAAGAAGGAACTGGAAGTCAGAGTGTATTATTCCACATCAGGCATTTGAGGGTCAGTGCAAAACAGCCTGGCTTTCTTTAAACTCTTCTTTTTCTCTTTTAGAGACACTGAAGACAGACTAAGAAAGCAAAGACAAAAAGGACTTTCTCCTCCCACAGCTTCAGGGAGAATCGATTTCAATAAGGGTTGGAAAAATGTAGCATTTGATTTGATTTAAAGTAGAGCCTGAGGGAACTAAATTCAAGCCTGGTTTGAAGCCTCAAGTGTTAAGGATTTATAGAGGAATCAGGAAGGTTATGAATACGCATACATGCTCTGGGAAAGTAAGCAGACTCTTTTAAAGTTTATCAGCCAATATCATACTAATATTGGTCAAATGCTCTACAAAAGCACAGCAGGAAATTATATAGTTCCTTGCATGAGAGATCTCTTAAATCTGAGAAGAATTAAGTTTTTTATTAATTTAGTTTGGAAGATGATCCAAAAGCTTCCTGAATTTAATGAGATTAATAAAATGAGTCAGTGCCTAGAGGTAGGGGCAGGAAGGAGTCAAATATTTCTGCCTAACATTTCTATTAAATGCCTAGCATTTCTACTCCTATTAAACCTTGTTACAGTTTAATGTCTGTTATATGTATGCACTTATTTTAATAGTATTGAATTAGAAAAACATTTGCTAAATTACTGACTTTAGTGAAGAGTACAGTTCTTATAGAAAAAATTGTCTGGATTTCTCATGCAGTCAACATAGTAGCCAGGACAAATAAAAACAAAAACAAAAAATTATTAACACAGGCTTTTTGACACTAGATCTCCTATCCTAGTTAGTGTTCTAAAATGTTAATGGAATCTTCAAGGTACAGAACTTAGGGCTTCCCATTCTCATCTATATGAGTCAAATTAAATGTTACGATAGGAGGACAAAGAGAGCAGCTATTCTTCTGAAGTGGTAGTGGCAGATCAGTGAAGAATACCAAAAAACGGGGGTGTACAGTCATTCCAGTATGACCTGATATCAGGCTTCTGGCAGCTAGCCAAAGTTGAGGCAACTGGAGGTTACTCAGGCACATGCTCTTCTATGGACTCATACATGGCGCATGGTCATATCTCATCACTCTCCTGTTCACCTTCAAGCAGGAAAAAATTATTTAGCTTTACTATATGTTGATTTTAGTAGAGCTTGGGAAATTTAAAATTTAGATTTTAAAAAGATATCCTCTAGTATCAGTTTGAAACACAACTCTATCTATATTTAAAAAATAATGACTAAGGAAAGATTATTTTGGAAATGGGTATGAGAAACCAATAAGTGAAGAATCACTAAAAGAGCCAGATTGCAAAAATTCTGGAAAGGTTGAAAAGCAGCTGTTTCCTAAATATTATGACTCTTATACCTGTTTAAAGCCCTGTGTGCCATATATGTGTTTTAGCAGGAGTTAATAATTTAATCTTTCTTATTTTTGTTGTTGTGATATCTGAAGCAAACTCAAAGAAAAGCAAAAAGAGCCCAAGTCAGCAGCAGAAAAGTAAATTTAGCATCTCAATCAAAATCACCTTTTACCCATGAGAATATTCACAAATAGTCAACAAGTAAGTTTTTGGTTAGTTTTTAGTTATGAATGTGCTTTCTTTCAGTTTTTGAGTAAACTCATTGTGAGAGAATGCATTATAATATAACAGCAAACCTGAGGCAGCAAGAGGAAATTGAAAAGCTATTGTTAAAATTTTGATTCTCAGAAACAAGAAGATGAAGAAGTAGAGATTTTAGAAATTGCTTTAGATTGCTAGAAATAATATATATGATAATGCCTTAGGTGCACTACAACTAAAACATGTAAATCTCCCTTAGAAGAAACAAGAAGGTAAATTTTTTTGTTTTATTGTGTTTTGTTTTTCCCATGATCACATAAAATTTGAAAAAAACAATTGTAGCTAGGACCAAATTTATAAGGTAAATCCCTGTTTGAGCAAAATAATAAAATGCTTTTCAGTCACTCTGCGCTATCAGTGGCTCTACTGCCTAACTGAAGATATAGAATTTATGGACAAACTGCACCCACTTGCCAATGGTAATGCGGAAAAGTACAGTGTGTCTTCTGAAAGAAGTAGATAAGATACGGTATGTCAAGCATTTAACAGTAGTAGGATATAGATAGAGAAAGAGTTTAGCAAGGCTTATTAAAACAACTAACACCCCACACGGCTGGGTACCCCTCTGAGATGAAGCTTCCAGAGGAACGATCAGGCAGCAACATTTGCTGTTCAGCAATATTTGCTGTTCTGCAGCCTCCGCTGCTGATACCCAGGCAAACAGGGTCTGGAGTGGACCGCCAACAAACTCCAACAGACCTGCAGCTGAGGGTCCTGACTGTTAGAAGGAAAACTAACAAACAGAAAGGACATCCACACCAAAACCCCATCTGTACATCACCATCGTCAAAGACCAAAGGTAGATAAAACCACAAAGACGGGGAAAAAAACAGAGCAGAAAAGCTGAAAATTCTAAAAATCAGAGCACCTCTCACCCTCCAAAGGAATGCAGCTCCTTGCCAGCAATGGAACAAAGCTGGACGGAGAATGACTTTGACGAGTTGAGAGAAGAAGGCTTCAGACGATCAAACTTCTCCAAGCTAAAGGAAGAAGTTCAAACCCATCACAAAGAAGCTAAAACCTTGAAAAAAGATTAGATGAATGGCTAACTAGAATAATCAGTGTAGAGAAGTGATTAAATGACCTGATGGAGCTGAAAACCATGGCACGAGAACTACGTGATGAATGCACAAGCTTCAGTAGCCGATTTGATCAACTGGAAGGAAGGGTATCAGTGATTGAAGATCACTAATGAATGAATGAATGCAATGAAGCGAGAAGTTTAGAGAGAAAAGAGTAAAAAGAAATGAACAAAGCCTCCAAGAAATATGGGACTGTGTGAAAACACAAAATCTATGTCTGATTGGTATACCTGAAAGTGACAGGGAGAATGGAACCAAGTTGGAAAACACTCTGCAGGATATTATCCAGGAGAACTTCCCCAACCTAGCAAGGCAGGCCAACATTCCAATTCAGGAAATACAGAAAACGCCACAAAGATACTCCTCAGGAAGAGCAACTCCAAGACACATAATTGTCAGATTCACCAAAGTTGAAATGAAGGAAAAAATATTAAGGGCAGCCAGAGAGAAAGGTTGGGTTACCCACAAAAGGAAGCCCATCAAACTAAGAGCGGATCTCTCAGCAGAAACTCTACAAGCCAGAAGAGTTTCAACATTCTTAAAAAAAAAGAATTTTCAACCCAGAATTTCATATCCAGCCAAACTAAACTTCATAAGTGAAGGAGAAATAAAATCCTTTACAGACAAGCAAATGCTGAGAGATTTTGTCACCATCACGCCTGCCCTACAAGAGCTCCTGAAGGAAGCACTAAACATGGAAAGGAACAACCGGTACCAGCCACTGCAAAAACATGTCAAATTGTAAAGACCAGCAATGCTAGGAAGAAACTGCATCAACTAATGAGCAAAATAACCAGCTAACATCATAATGACAGGATCAAATTCACACATAACAATATTAACCTTAAATGTAAATGAGCTAAATGCTCCAATTAAAAGACACAGACTGGCAAACTGTAAAAAGAGTCAAGACCCATTAGTGTGCTATATTCAGGAGACCCATCTCACATGCAGAGACACACATAGGCTCAAAATAAAGGGATGGAGGAAGATCTACCAAGCAAAAGGAAAACAAAAAAAGTCAGGGGTTGCAATCCTCGTCTCTGATAAAACAGACTTTAAACCAACAAAGATCAAAAGAGACAAAGAAGGCCATTACATAATGGTAAAGGTATCAATTCAACAAGAAGAGCTAACTATCCTAAATATATATGCACCCAATACAGGAGCACCCAGATTCATAAAGCAAGTTCTTAGAGACCTACAAAGAGACTTAGACTCCCACACAATAATAATGGGAGACTTTAACATCCCACTGTCAACATTAGACAGATCAACAAGACAGAAAGTTAACAAGGATATCCAGGAATTGAACTCAGCTCTGCACCAAGCAGACCTAATAGACATCTACAGAACTCTCCACCCCAAATCAACAGAATATACATTCTTCTCAGCACCACATCACACTTATTCCAAAATTGACCACATAGGTGGAAGTAAAGCACTCCTCAGCAAATGTAAAAGAACAGAAATTATAACAAACTGTCTCTCAGACCACAGTGCAATCAAACTAGAACTCAGGATTAAGAAACTCACTCGAAACCGCTCAACTACATGGAAACTGAACAACCTGCTCCTGAGTGACTACTGGGTACATAACGAAATAAAGGCAGAAATAAAGATGTTCTTTGAAACCAATGAGAACAAAGACACAACATACCAGAATCTCTGGGACACATTTAAAGCAGTGTGTAGAGGGAAATGTATAGCACTAAATGCCCACAAGAGAAAGCAGGAAAGATCTAAAACTGACACCCTAACATCACAAAAGAACTAGAAAAGCAAGAGCAAACACATTCAAAAGCTAGCAGAAGGCAAGAAATAACTAAGATCAGAGCACAACTGAAGGAGATAGAGACACAAAACACCCTTCAAAAAATCAATGAATCCAGGAGCTGGTTTTCTGAAAAGATCAACAAAATTGATAGACCACTAGCAAGACTGATAAAGAATAAAAGAGAGAAGAATCAAATAGATGCAATAAAAAATGATAAAGGGATATCACCACTGATCCCACAGAAATACAAACTACCATCAGAGAATACTATAAACACCTCTCTGCAAATTAACTAGAAAATCTAGAAGAAATGGTTAAATTCCTGGACACATACACCCTCCCAATACTAAACCAGGAAGAAGTTGAATCCCTGAATAGACCAATAACAGGCTCTGAAATTGAGGCAATAATTAATAGCCTACCAACCAGAAAAAGTCCAGGACCAGAGGGACTCACAGCCAAATTCTACCAGAGGTACAAGGAGGAGCTGGTACCATTTCTTCTGAAGTTATTCCAATCAATAGAAAAAGAGGGAATCCTCCCTAAGTCATTTTATGAGGCCAGCATCATCCTGAGGACCAAAGCCTGGCAGAGACACAACAAAAAAAGAGAATTTTAGACAAATATCCCTGATGAAGATCGATGCAAAAATCCTCAATAAAATACTGGCAAACTGAACCCAGCAGCACATCAAATAGCTTATCCACCATGATCAAGTGTGTTTCATCCCTGGGATGCAAGGCTGGTTCAACATATGCAAATCAATAAATGTAATCTAGCATATAAACAGAACCAAAAACAAAAATCACATGATTATCTCAATATTTGCAGAAAAGGCCTTTGACAAAATTCAACAGCCCTTCATGCTAAAAACTCTCAATAAATTAGGTGTTGATGGGACGTATCTCAAAATAATAAGAGCTATTTATGACAAACCCACAACCAATATCACACTGATTGGGCAAAAACTGGAAGCATTCCTTTTGAAAACTTGCACAAGACGGGATGTCCTCTCTCACCACTCCTATTCAACATAGTGTTGGAAGTTCTGGCCAGGGCAATCAGGCAGGAGAAGGAAATAAAGGGGATTCAATTAGGAAAAGAGGAAGTCAAATTGTCCCTGTTTGCAGACGACATGATTGTATATTTAGAAAACCCCATTTTCTCAGCCCAAAATCTCCTTAAGCTGATAAGCAACTTCAGCAAAGTCTCAGGATAAAAATCAATGTGTAAAAATTACAAGCATTCTTATACACCAATAAAAGACAAACAGAAAGCCAAATCATGAGTGAACTCCCATTCACAATTGCTTCAAAGAGAATAAAATACCTAGGAGTCCAACTTACAAGGGATATGAAGGACCTCTTCAAGAACTACAAACCACTGTTCAATGAAATAAAAGAGGATACAAACAAATGGAAGAACATTCCATGATCATGGATAGGAAGAATCATTATCGTGAAAATGGCCATACTGCCCAAGGTAATTTATAGATTCAGTGTCATCCCCATCAAGCTACCAATGACTTTCTTCACAGAATTGGAAAAAACTACTTTAAATATCATATGGAACCAAAAAAGAGCCCACACTGCCAAGACAATCCTAAACCAAAAGAAAGAAGGTGGAGGCATCATGCTACCTGACTTCAAACTATACTACAAGGCTACAGTAACCAAAACAGCATGGTACTGGTACCAAAACAGAGATATAGACCAATGGAACAGAACAGAGCCCTCAGAAATAATACCACACATCTACAACCATCTGATCTTTGACAAACCTGACAAAAAGAAAAAACGGGGAAAAGATTCCCTATTTAACAAATGGTGCTGGGAAAACTGGCTGGCCACATGTAGAAAGCTGAAACTGGATCCCTTCCTTACGCCTTATACAAAAATTAATTCAAGATGGATTAAAGACTTAAATGTTACACCTAAAACCATAAAAACCCTAGATGAAAACCTAGGCAATACCATTCGGGACATAGGCATGGGCAAGGACTTCATGTCTAAAACACCAAAAGCAATGGCAACAAAAGCCAAAATTGACAAACGGGATCTAATTAAACTAAAGAGCTTTTGCACAGCAAAAGAAACTACCATCAGAGTGAACAGGCAACCTACAGAATGGGAGAAAATTTTTGCAATCTATTCATCTGACAAAAGCCTAATATCCAAAATCTACAAAGAACTCAAACAAACTTATAAGAAAAAATCAAACAACCCCATCAAAAAGTGGGCAAAGGACATGAACAGACACTTCTCAAAAGAAGACATTTATGCAGCCAAAAGACACATGAAAAAATGCTCATCATCACTGGCCACCAGAGAAATGCAAATCAAAACCACAATGAGATACCATCTCACACCAGTTAGAATGGGGATCATTAAAAAGTCAGGAAACAACAGGTGCAGGAGAGGATGTGGAGAAATAGGAACACTTTTACACTGTTGGTGGGACTGTAAACTAGTTCAACCATTGTGGAAGACAGTGTGGCGATTCCTCAAGGATCTAGAGCTAGAAATACCATTTGACCCAGCCATCTCATTACTGGGTATATACCCAAAAGATTATAAATCATGCTGCTATAAAGACACATGCACATGTATGTTTATTGCGGCACTATTCTCAATAGCAAAGACTTGGAACTAACCCAAATGTCCATCAGTGATAGACTGGATTAAGAAAATGTGGCACATATACACCATGGAATACTATGCAGCCTTTAAAAAGGATGAGTTCATGTCTTTTGTAGGGACATGGATGAAGCTGGAAACCATCATTCTCAGCAAAGTATCGCAAAGATAAAAACCAAATACTGCATGTTCTCACTTATAGGTGGGAATTGAACAATGAGAACACTTGGACACAGGAAGGGGAACATCACACACTGGGGCCTGTCATGGGGTGAGGGGAAGGGGGAGGGATAGCATTGGGAAATATACCTAATGTAAATGACGAGTTAATGGGTGCAGCACAACAACATGGCACACGTATACATGTGTAACAAACCTGCACGTTGTGCACATGTACCCTAGAACTTAAAGTATAATTTAAAAAAACCAACAACAACAAAAAGAAACTGGCCGGGCGCGGTGGCTCACATCTGTAATCTCTCAGCACTTTGGGGGGCCAAGGAGGGTGGATCATGAGGTCAGGAGATCGAGACCATCCTGGCTAACACGGTGAAACCTTGTCTCTACTAAAAATACAAAAAAATGCACCAGGCGTGGTGGCAGGCGCCTGTGGTCCAGACTACTTGGGAGGCTGAGGCAGGAGAATGGCCTGAACCCGGGAGGCAGAGCTTGCAGTGAGTGGAGATCGCGCCACTGCACTCCAGCCTGGGCGACAGAGCGAGACTCCATCTCAAAAAAACAAAACAAAACAAAACAAAACTAAGGTGCAACATAATTGTTTTTCTAAATAATCTCTGTCAACTACATTGAGAAATAGTCTAAATTGATGCAGTAAACAACTTGTTTTTGCACCTGGTGCTTTCAACACTTAGATTCTTCATCAAGAGTTAAAATGAGAAGAACCTCACATTTGGATTCTCATCAATTCTGCAAAAAAGCGAAAAATGCTGCTAAGCTGCTCAAAGTAGACAACAGAATACAATGTCAGTGAAGGGAGAACTTGGCTCTTGCATTACATGGAAACTGGAGAGTTCACTGAATTTGGCATAACTTCTGCATTTATAGAGCATTGTTTTTGGTGGTTCTTTTGTATGGTCTGGCTAAGCACATTCTAGCTTAAATTCTCAGTAAGGCATGTAATGCTGTCATTCTTCAGTAGTAAGGCTTACTCAGCGTATGTGAGTGTAAGGTAGATGTTAGTGAAAATGTTTAGAAGCCCATAGCCATGTGGAACTAGACAGAAATGCAGGTACAGGAACTTCAGTCTACAAGGAAAAAGGTGATACTAGAAAAAAAGTGTTAAGCCTCTAGTTCTAATATTGAAGGCATGGAGATTTATGAAAATGTAGTAGAAAGAAAAAAGGAACTAAGCACTAGCAAGAACTTCTCCAAAGGGAAGTTGAAGAAGAAGGGAACTTGCTAACCCAATGCTACAAACAGACACCATTGTACATCTAAACGTATATATATATATATATATCTTTTCCTTATTTGTAATATCATACTATTTCTGAAATATAATATTCAAAAATTAGATTTCCCTTGAATTACAAACATGGTGAGAAGCCATTTGAATTAGAATTAGATCATTAGTATTACTGAAACATCCTATTGATTTGTGCAGATAAAACCGTGTGGGCATTAACGTACAACGTTCAAATATGAAATATACATTAATTTGTATTTGTTGAAGCTATTTATTCTGAAATAGTTTTAGATTTTTGAAAACAGGTTCTAATAAGATTCTTCGAATTGTTTTAAGCAATGGTATTGCAAGTAACTATAGATTTTAAAATAATGTTACTTTACAGAAGAAGGATTAAGATTCTTTACTATTAGTTAAAAAGTATTCACTAAGACCATTTGTGATGGATTTCATATGCACAATAAACTTGTCTAGGTTTTAGAAATAAAATACCTGTTTTATTCTGTGGAATTCTGTCTTTCACTGAAAGAAGTACCCTTTTTTCTAAGAACAAGGAAATATTAAAATAATTCATGTATGCATATATTTATGCATGATTTCTCTAAATGACTCTATAATCCTAGATTTGCTTTATTCGATTTGATTTAGTTACATAATTGGCCTGAAAAAGGAAAGAGGCCCATGATGGAGGTACCAAAAAAGACTTTGTTCTACTTACTTTTATATGTTATTGGGAAAAGATAAACTGTTGCTGCCACAATATTTCTGGAAGCCAGGGAAATGCCAAGTAAAATAAGACCAGAGCATCTCAGATGGTGCCATGTGTTTAGTCTTATTGGTTAAACAATGATTAGATTACATGGAATACATCACGAAGTTGTCCTACCTGTGTTCTTGTCTTTCTCTTATTTTTTTCTTATATATTCATTTCTTAGAGAACTCAAAGAGGTTGCTCAAAACCTCAGTAGCTTTTATTAAATTGTATATATGACCACAATGCCGTATACTGATTTTAGAGTTTTTGGAGCCATTGCTGGCACAACTAGTATAGTTTGACATTTTTCTGGGTGTATTGTGACACACTTACTTTATGGCACTATTATATGTCTCTTAAGATGTATACACTAAATAACTTTGTTAAATTTGTTTTCTGTACTATAATTGAATATAGTTTGTATATCAAGTACATTTTACATAGGATTTGAAGGTAATTGGTTTAAATAGGTTTATTCATAAAATATAATAGCATTTTAAATTGTCAAATGTGATTTGAGAAACAACTTAGCAGTTTTTAGTTCAACATTTGCATTTTTTTTTTCTGAAGGAGTTAGGGGTCATTAAGCAAGCTTTCTGGGCCAACTGTTATCATTAAAAAAAAATCATAAAATACACAGTGGTAGTACAACTCAAAGTGTTAACAGTGTATTTAAACAAATGTCAATCTCTGTAAAGCTTTATGTTGAAAGCCTTATTGGGAAAAGCATTAAGGAAGAAAACATAACTTTCAGCAGTTTACCTGTTGCTTTAGTGGTAGTAATTTGATTAGTAGTATAAGTTATACAGAAGATAAAATAAATGGATATTTTCTCTTTCTTGGAGGCATCTAAAGATAGCTAGTACAGGCATGGGCGGTCCAAACAAGGAGCCCTGACATTTAAGCCTCATTAGCTTCTCAATACATCTGCCTTTAACTGCTTTCACTTCCTCACCCAAATTCTCTTAAAAATATGTAGCAATGTATCTCTGGATCAGCCTACTGGGCTGAATAGCTTTCAGCAAGCTTCACAGTAATTGACTTTTACCAAAACCTTTGGTCACATGTTTGGCCTCTGCTTTACCTCTCAATTCTTTCAGTGTGATTTATTACTCTTCCCTCATTTAAATACTGTCTTACCTTGACTTCTGTGGCTTCACACTCTGAGGTAATCTTTTTCTTACCTCGTTGACTAATCTTTGTCAAACTCCTTGGATGATTTCTTCTCTACTTAAACTCTTAACTATGGGGTTCCCAGAGATTTATCCAATGCCATTCTTGCTTCTCTATGTATATTTTCTTCCTCAGTTCTCCAGGCCAGTCACATGGCTGTAAACAATACATATATGATGATAACTCCTGGACTTTCATCTCTAGTCTTGAATATTTCTCTAAATTCTAGAGTGGTACAACTACGTACTTACATAGTATCCCTCATAATTATCTCAAACTTAATATATTACAAGGTACTCTCTTGATATATCACTCAAATATTTTTCTTTGTTTTCATCATGTCATTAAATGACATAAACATTTACCCAGAAGCACAAGCTAAATTCCTAGAAAGTATGTTTGATTATTTCTTTGTCTTTTCCCATAACCAATCACTGATAATTTGTTTGTCTCTTTTCCCGAAATATTTTCCAATGATGTCCACTTTTCTGTACCTTTGCTACCATTTTCCTTTATAAATTCCTCTTTCCTTCCTCAGAAATATTATTATAATATTCTTTTTTTTTTTAGTTTTACTTTAAGTTCTGGGATACATATGCAGAACGTGCAAGTCTGTTACGTGTATACCTATACATGTGCCATGGTGGTTTGCTACACCTATCAACCCATCATCTACGTTTTAAGCCCCACGTGCATTAGTAATCTGTCCTGATGCTCTCCCTCCCCTAAACCCCCACCCCTCACCCCCTGACAGGCCCTGTTGTGTCGCCTCTCTGTGTCCATGTGTTCTCATTGTTCAACTCCCATTTATGAGTGAGAACATGTGGTGTTTGGTTTTCTGTTGCTGTGTTAGTTTGCTGAGGATGATGACTTCCATTTTCATCCATGTCCCTGCAAAGGACATGATCTCATTTTTTATGGCTGCATAGTATTCCATGGTATACATGTGCCACCTTTTCTTTATCCAGTCTATCATTGAGGAGCATTTGGGTTGGTTCCATGTCTTTGCTATTGTAAATAGTGCTGCAATAAACATATATATGCATGTGTCTTTCTAGTAGAATGATTTATATCCCTTTGGGTATGTACCCAGTAATAGGATTGCTGACTCAAATGGTATTTCTCGTTCTAAATCTTTGAAGAATTGCCACACTTTCTTCCACAGTGGTTGAACTAATTTAAATTCCAACCAACAGTCTAAAAGTGTTCCTACTTATCCACAGCCTCGCCAGCATCTATTGTTTCTTGACTTTTTAATAATCACCATTCTGACAAGCATGAGATGGTATCTCATTGTGGTTTTGGTTTGTAGTTCTTTAATGTTCAGTGATATTGAGCTTCTTTTCACGTTTGTTGGCCACATAAATGTCTTCTTTTGAGATGTGTCTGTTCATATCCTTTGCCCATTTTTGATGGTTTTTTTTTTCCTGTAAATTTAGGTTCATTGTAGATTCTGGATATCAGACCTTCATCAGATGGGTAGATTACAAAGAATTTCTCCCATTCTGTAAGTTGCCTGTTTGCTCTGATGATAGTTTCTTTTGTTGTGCAGAAGCACTTTAACTTAATTAGATTCTGTTTGTCAATTTTAGCTTTTCTTTCAAATGCTTTTGGCATTTTCATCATGAAATGTTTGCCCATGCCTATGTCCTAAGTGGTATTGCCTAGGTATTCTTCGAGGGTTTGGATGGTTTTGGGTTTTACATTTAAGGCTTTAATCCATCTTGAGTTAATTTTTTTATAAAGTATAAGGAAGGGGTCCAGTTTCAGTTTTCTAAATATGGCTAGCCAGTTATCCCAGCACCATTTATTAAATAGGGAATCATTTGCCCATTGCTTGTTTTTGTCAGGTTTGTTGAAGATCAGATGGTTGTAGATGTGTAGTGTTATTTTTGAGGTCTCTGTTATATTCCATTGGTCTATATGTCTGTTTTGGTACGAATACCATGTTTGGGTTACTGTAACCTTGTAGTATAGTTTGAAGTCACGTAGCATGATGCCTCCAGCTTTGTTCTTTTGGCTTAGGACTATTTCGGCTCTACAGACTCTTTTTTGGTTCCATATGAAATTCAAAGTAGTTTTTTTCTAATTCTGTGAAGAATGTCAATGGTAATTTGATGGGAGTAGCATTGAATCTATAAATTACTTTGGGCCATATGGCCATTTTCACAATATTGATTCTTCCTATCCATGAGCATGGTATTATTTTCCATTTGTTTGTGTACTCTCTTATTTCCTTGAGCAGTGGTTTATAGTTCTCCTTGAAGAGGACCTTCATATCCCTTGTTAGCTGTATTCCTATGTATTTTATTTCCTTTCTAGCAATCGTGGATGGGAGTTCATTCATGATTTGGCTCTCTGCTTGTCTATTGTTGGTGTATAGAAATGCTTGTGATTTTGCACATTGATTTTGTATCCTGAGATTTTGCTAAAGTTGCTTATCAGCTTAAGGAGTTTTAGGGCTGAGAAGATGGGGTTTCTAAATATAGAATCATTTTATCTAAAAACAGAGACAACTTGCTTTCCTCTCTTCCTATTTGATTATCCTCTATTTCTTTCTCTAGCCTTATTGCTCTGGCCAGAACTTCCAATACTGTGTTGAATAGGAATAGTGAGAGAGGGCGTTCTTGTCTTGTGCTGATTTTCAAAGGGAATGCTTCCAGCTTTCGCCTATTCAGTATGACATTGGCTGTGGGTTTGTCATAAATAGCTCTTATTATTTTGAGATAGGTTCCATCAATACCTAGTTAATTGAGAGTTTTTAACATTAAGGGATGTTAAATTTTATCTAAGGCCTTTTCTGCAAATATTGACATAATCATGTTTTTTTTGTCATTGGTTCTGTTTATGTGTTGGATTATGTTTATTGATTTGCATATGTTGAACCATCCTTGCATCTTAGGGATGAAGCTGACCTGTTCGTGGTGAATAAGCTTTTTGATATGCTGCTGGATACAGTTTGCCAATATTTTATTGAGGAATTTTGCATCAATGTTCATCAGGGATTTTGACCTGAAGTCCTCTTTTTTGCTGTGTCTGTTCCAGGTTCTGGTATCAGGATGATGTTGGCCTCATAAAATGAGTTAGGGAGGAGTCCTTCCTTTTCAATTGTTTGAAATTGTTTCAGAAGGAATGATACCAGCTCCTCTTTGTACCTCTGGTAGAATTCGGCTGTGAATCTATCTGGTTCTGGCCTTGTTTTGGTTGGTAGGCTATTAATTACTGCCTCAATTTCAGAACTTGAAATATTGGTCTATTTAGGGATTCGACTTCTTCCTGGTTTAGTCTTGGGAGGGTGTATGTGTCCAGGAATTTATCAGTATCTTCTAAATTTTCTAGTTTGTTTGTTCAGAGGTGTTTATAGTATTCTCTGATGGTAGTTTGTGTTTCTGTGGGGTCAGTGGTGATATCCCCTTTATCATTTTTTTATTGTGTCTGTTCGATTCTTCTCTCTTTTCTTCTTTATTAGTCTAGTTAGCAGTCTATCTATTTTGTTTGTGTTTTTCAAAAAATCAGCTCCTGAATTCATTGATTTTTGGAAGGGATTTTTGTGTCTCTATCTCCTTCAGTTCTGCACTTATCTTAGTAGTTTATTGTCTTCTCCTAGCTTTTGGATTTGTTTGCTCTTGCTTCCCTAGTTCTTTTCATTGTTATGTTAGGGTATTGATTTGAGATCTTTCTATCTTTCTGATTTGGGCATTTAGCACTATAAATTTCTCTCTTAACACTGCTTTAGCTGTGTCTCAGCAATTCTGATACATTGTCTCTTTATACTCATTGGTTTCAAATAACTTCTTGATTTCTGCCTTAATTTCATTATTTACCTAGGAATCATTTAGGATCAAGTTGTTCAATTTCCATTTAGTTATGTTGTTTTGAGTGAGTTTCTTAATCCTCGGTTTTAATTTGATTGTATTGTGGTCGGAGAGACTGTTTTTTATGATTTCAGTTCTTTTGCATTTGCTGAGGAGTGTTTTACTTCCAATTATGTGGTTGATTTTGGAATAAGTGACATGTGGCAATTAGAAGAATGTGTATTCTTTTGATTTGGGGTGGAGAGTTCTGTAGATACGTATTAGGTCCACTTGATCCAGAGCTGAGTTCAAGTCCTGAATACCTTGTTAATTTTCTGTCTCACTGATCAGTCTAATATTGACAGTGGGGTGTTAAGGTCTCCCATTAATATTGTGTGGGAGTCTAAGTCTCTTCCTAGGTCTCTAAAAACTTGTTTTATGAATCTGGGTGCTTCTGTATTGGGTGCATACATATTTAGGATAGTTAGCTCTTCTTGTTGAATTGATCCCTTTACCATTATGTAATACCCTTCTTGGTCTTTTTTGATCTTTGTTGGTTTAAAGTCTGTTTTTTTTTCAGAGACCAGGATTGCAATCCCTGCTTTTTTTTTCTTTCAATTTGCTTGATAAATTTTCCTCCATCCCTTTATTTTGAGCCTTTGTGTGTCTTTGTGCATGACATAGGTGTCCTGAATACAGCACAGTGATGCGTCTTCACTCTTTTCCAGTCTGCCAGTCTGTGTCTTTTAACTGGGACATTTAGTTCATTTACATTTAAGCTTAATATTGTTATTTGTGAATTTGTTCCTGTCATAATGATGCTAGCTAGTTATTTTGCAGACTAGTTGATGCCATTTCTTCATAATATCTTTGGTCTTTATATTTCAGTGTGTTTTTGCAGTGGCTGGTACCAGTTTTTCCTTTCCATATTTAGTGCTTCCTCCAGGAGCTCTTGTAAGGCACACATGGTGGCGACAGAATCCCTCAGCATTTGCTTGTCTGAGAAGGATTGTATATCTCCTTCAATTATGAAGCTTAGTTTGTCTGGGTATGAAATACTGGGTTGAAAATTCTTTTATTTAAGAATGTCCAATATTGGCTCCCATTCTCTTCTGGCTTTTAGGGTTTCTGCTGAGTGATCCACTGTTAGTCTGATGAGCTTCCTTTTGTAGGTTACCTGTCCTTTCCCTCTGGCTGTCCTTAACATTTTTTCCTTCATTTTGACCTTGGAGAGTCTGATGATTATGTGTCTTGGGTTTGATCATCTCATGGAGTATCTTAATCGTGTTCTCTGTATTTCCTGAATTTAAATGTTGGCCTGTCCTGCTATGTTGGGGGAGTTCTCCTGGAAAATAACCTGAAGTGTGTTTTCCAACTTGATTCCATTCTCCCCATCCCTTTCAGGTACTCCAATCAATAGTAGGCTTGGTCTTTTTACATAGTCCCATATTTCTTGGAGGTTTTGTTTGTTCCTTTTCATTCTTTTTTCTCTAATCTTGTCTGCCTGTCTTATTTCAGCATGATGGTCTTCAAACTCTGATATTCTTTCTTCCACTTGATCGATTCAGCTGTTGATCCTTGTGTGTGCTTCACGAAGTTCTCATGCTGCATTTTTCAGCTCCATCAGGTTATTTATGTTCCTCTCGAAACTCGTTATTCTAGTTAGCAGCTTCTGTAACCTTTTATATAGGTTTTCAGCTTCTTTGCATTCGGTTATAACATGCTTCTTTAGCTCAGTGAAGTTTGTTATTACCCACCCTCTGAAGCCAAGTTCTGTTAATTCGTTCATCTCATCTTCCATCCAGTTCTGTGCCCTTGCTAGAGAGGTGCTGCGATCATTTGGAGAAGAGGCACTCTGGCCTTTCGAGTTTTCAGCTTTTTTGTTGATTCTTTCTCATTTTAATGAGTTTGTCTAGTTTTGATCTTTGATGCTGCTAACTCTTACATACATCAGGATTTCATGGGGACATTTTTTGTTGATGCTGTTGTTGTTGCTTTCTCTTTGCTTGTTTTTCTTTCAATGGTCAGGTCCCTTTTCTGTAGGACCTGTGGTTTGCTGGGGGTTCACTTCAGGCCCTATTCATCTGGTTCATTCCCATGCCTGGAGATGTCGCTTGAGGAGGCTGGTAAACAGCAAAGATGGTGCCTGCTCCTTCCTCTGGGATCTCTGACCTCCAGGGGCACCGATCACCTGATGCCAGTAGGAATGCTCCTGTATAGGGTATCTGATAACTCCTGTTGGAGGGTTTCACCCGGTTGGGTGGCATGGGGAGCACGACGTGTTTAACGAAGCACTTTGGCTGTCCCTTGGTGGAGGCGTTGTGCCACGCTGGAGGGAAACCCACTCATCTAGGATGTCCGGATTCCTCAGAACTAGCAGGAGGAATGACTAAGTCTGCTGGTCCACAGAGACTATGGCCACCCCTCCCACTAGGGGCTCAGGCCCAGGGAGAACAAAGTTCTGTCTCCGAAACCCTGGCTGGAGTTGTTGGAGTTCCTGCAAGGAGGACCCACCCAGTGAGGAGGAATGGGTTAGGGTCGGGCCTGAAGATGCACTCTGTCCACAGTCTGACACAGCCGGTATGTTGAACTGTGAGGAATACCTCTTGGGACAAATCCATCCAGCCTTCCTTGCTCCAGCAGGGAAAAAGCATGGCCTGGAGTTATAGAGATGGCTGCAGCTCTTCCTTCACCCTGGGATCTTAGTGTGTTAGGCAGCTAGCAGTCCCAGCGTTGGCTGCCACCTCTCTCCCAAGTTGCTCAGAGGGCTTAGACAGCAGGCAGCCGCCCCTGCCCCAAGGAACTTGGCAGGCTTAAGCAGATTCTAGCTGAGTGGCTGAGAATCTGCATGGCTCCATGGTTGGGACCCTAGGCCCCAGCGGCATGGGCTCATGAGTGGGATCTTCTGATCGTGGGTTGCACAGTTCTGTGGAAAAAGCATGGTTTCCCAGGCTGGGCAGCAGGCTCACTCTCTGCCTCCCTTGGCTTGAGGGTGGGGGCTCCCCTGCCCTGTGTGGCTCTCAGGTGGGCCGCCACACCACACAGCTCTACCTTCCTCGCGTGGGTCACATCAACTGCCTAGTCAGTCTTGATGACAGAACCTGGATACCTCACTTACCGGTGCTGGATTTACACACTGTTTTTGTTCGTTTCAATGGGAGCTTCCGATTGCCACAGCTGCTAGTTGGCCATCTTGGTCCCGCCTCCCTGTAATATTCTAATTGAGAATTCTGTTTCACTCTGCCTGTTCTCCTCAATCTACAACATATTCTTCAACATGAATATAAGTGATTTTAAGATGCCTATTAAGTGGACAAATAAACTGCATAAAACTTATAAAGGAAAGACTACAGAGATATCAGATATCTCAGGAGACAAAGTGAAGTGAATCCAGCAGGTGAGGAACTCCCAATGGAAGAGCTGGCTGTAGATCAAGGGAAAGAAAAATGGAGAGTGGAAGATGCAGACTTACTTACTATATATTGCCTTGTGAATGAAAGATTACAGAAACTAGGACTATGATATCTACCTACATATCTTGCTGGCTGTGTTACATTTTATTATATGTTCTAATGAGCTTTTTTTCCCCTTTATATCTTTCCCAGTCTCCTTTTAGTTTTAGAGAGTTTATTAATATTGGTAAATTTACAATTTATTTGATTGGTTACTATGTAACAACTTGGAGTTTCAATAAAACAGGAAAAGACATGAAACAGAAATTCTGCATTAAAGTTAGATGTGATAACATATTAACTTCAGGATATTTTCCTTTGGTCAGAGGGAAGCATCTTTTTTGGAATAACAAATATAATTACTATATCCATCAGCTAACAGCAAAAAACAGGCACATTCTGTTCCAAGAGTGTTGAGAAAGGGGGCTGATATGGTTTGGCTCTGTCCCCATCCAAATCTCATCTTGAATTGTAACTCCCATAATTCCCATGTGTTGTGAAAGGGACCTGGTGGGAGATCATTCAATCATGGGGGCAGTTTCCTCCCTACTGTTCTCGTGATAGTGAATAAGTCTCACGAGATCTGATGGTTTGATAAGTGGTTTCCCGTTTTGCTTGGCTCTCATTCTCTTCTCTTGTCTGCTGCCATGTGAGACATGCCTTTCACCTTCCACCATTGTGAGGCCTCCCCAGCCACATGGAACTGAATTCATTATACCTCTTTCTTTTGAAAATTGCCCAGTCTCCAGTATATCTTTATTAGCAGTGTAGAAACGGACTAATACAGGGGCTATTGGTAAATAAGTGACAAGTTGAAAGGAAACCAGAAGGGATAGTGCATTAAGTACCTTAGGGGTATACACCACCAGGCCCAAAGGAAAGAGCAGAGACAGCAATTACTAGAATCCAGAAGGGAACAATTAGAATTTAATTACAACTCAAATGTAAAGAGTTCACTTTCAATTAAAAGATGCAGCTAGCTTCAGGCAAACCCACAGGGAGAAAGCCAAAAGAATAAACACCTATAGCTCACTCTCCTTTTCTCTGATCTTCTGACAGGGCTCCCTATTGGGTCACACCAACCTAACGTTAGCACAGGAGCTATTGTGATCCATGCATGTCCACAACTTAGACTCAAGATGAAGTAAGTTGGGTAGAGTTGAAAATTTCTGGAGCAGTGATATTATTTGAGCTGGAACATGTTGGATTGCTTGGAAGTTAAATATTAAAGAACATGGGAGGTTGATGAGGGTAAATGTACATGTTAAGTTAAATTTGTATTTGTTATGTGAGTGGATACCCAGCATCTCTTTAATGTTATTCCTGTCTTGGGGGGAAATTCTGCAAACTGAGTCCTGTCTGGCTAAGGAAGAAGCCACAAACTTGCTTTCTTATGTTCCCTTACAATTAAGGCATAGTCAGGCAAAATAACCATGGCTAGACAGATGATCCCATGATAGACATAAAATTTTATATAAATGAAAAATAGTAGTGCCTTGTAGAAATAATTTTCAGTCAAAGGTTCTTGGCAAAAGCATCTGGATTTCAGGGATAGCAGAAGCAGAGTGTGTGGCATTGTGTGTTCAGCACTGGCAGTGTGATCTGCTGGATTTGTTTCCATGGTGGAAGTGGTGGGGTCCTCAGCAGAGTAGTTGCATGTTACCATTTGACATTGCTTCTTGTTGTGTAGCCTCCTAGCCAGACTTTTGGGACCTGTTGGAGATTCCAAATCATTTTCTCTTCTTAAACTACTTACCGTGGTACAATATAAATTGTTGTTTATGATTAAAACTCAGACAGATACACTATGACATTCTTTAAGCAGCTGTTTGAAAACAACTCAAATGTCTACTGATGAACAGTTCACCAAATTACGGTAGGCTTATACCCTGAAATATTATAGAGTGCTTAAGAATTACGTTTGCATTTTAAAACATTTAACTGATGTTACACTGTGAGATAATATCTGTATTAACAAGATAAAAGGAATAAAATCATTAAAAAATTGTATTTTCATGTGTATATATATATTTCCTAAAAGAACTAGTTAATTTAAAAGTTAATATTTATTATTATTATTATTTGAGACGGAGTCTCACCCTGTCTCCCAGCTGGAGTGCAGTGGCACAATCTCTGCTCACTGCAACCTCCATCTCCCAGGTTCAAGTGATTCTCCTTCCTCAGCCTCCCCAGTAGCTGGAATTACATACACGTGCCACCATACCCAGCTAATTTTTTGTATTTTTAGTAGAGACAAGGTTTCACCATGTTGGCCAGGCTAGTTTCAAACTCCTAACCTCAAGTGACCTGCCTGCCTGGCCTCCCGAAGTGCTGGGATTACAGGCGTGAGCCAGCATTCCCTGCAGTATTTATTATTAATTGAGTAATTTTAAATACTTTTTCTTATTTTTTTTACACTTTTCTTTTAAGTTCAGAGGTATAAGTGCAGGTTTGTTACATAGGTAAACTTGTGCCGTGAGAGTTTTTAGTACAGATTATTTTATCAGCCAGGTATGAAGCCTAGTACCTATTAGTTATTTTTCGTGATCGTTTTCTCCTCCCACCTTCTACCCTTCAAAAGGCCCCAGTGTGTGTTGTTCCCTTCTATATGTCCATGTGTTCTTATTTATTCTTATTGTTTGCATTTTATTTTATAATGAGCAATTTCAAAAATTGCTTCTACATTTTTAAACTAGGAATGAGACAAAGAGGACTGTGGTGGTTAGTTTTCATGTGTCAACTAGCCTGGGACACAGAGTACCCAGACATTTGGTCAAACATTTTGGGTGAGTCTGTTAAGTGTTTCTGGATGAGATGAACATTTGAATTGGTAGACTGGGTAAAACAGATTGCCCTTCCTAATTGGTGGGCCTCATACAATCCCTTGAAGACCTAAATAGAATAGAAAGGCCCAGTAAAAGAGAATTTCTGTTGCCTGACTGCTTTGAGCTGGGACATTGGTTTTATTGGGTCTCAGATTCTAAGTAAAAGATCGGGGTTTTTTGGGTCTCAAGCCTCCCAACTTTCAGACTAGAACTTACACTATCAGTTTTCCAAGTTCTCAGGCCTGTAGACTAGCACTGGAACTATATCAGTGGTCTCCCTGGTCTCCAGCTTGCTTCCTACAGATCTTGGGACTTCTTAGCCTCCATAATCACATAAGCCAATTCCTTAATAGATCAATCTTTCTTTCTTTCTACACACACACACACACACACACACACACACACACACACACACATCCTATTGGTTCTGTTTCTCTGGAGAACTCTAATACCAAAGACCCTTTTATTTCCAGACAATAAAATTAAATTAGAACAATAATTACAAGTCAACGAGCTAACAATAATTCAAAGCATTTTTATTTATTAGATCCTCTGTTTTCTAGTTTTGATTTTTCTTTCCCATGTATCTAAAATGTTTGAATGATGCAGCCTGAACTAGTGGTTGCAGACAGTCAACAGTAGGCACTGAGTCTAATACATGCAATTATGCACCAGGAAATGTACCAGATATAATCATTGATGTAATCACAGAAACATCCAACAGCACAGTTTACAACAATTCTCTTTATTCACTTTTAAGTGTATTGATTTTGGATTTAAGATCTAAACTGAGAAAAAAAATTGCAGCACTTGCGTGAAATGGGTTTATTTTCAGTCTTTTTGTGAGAGGATGACAATGCATTTTGTATTTTTAAAAATACACATAATACAGAAATAATGCAAAAATCATACAACAACACTCATTATTGGCCACTTTTAAGATCTGTGGTCTCTAATATATTTTGAACTTTCTGATTAAAATTGAGAGATTTACTTACTTAAGGTAAAATTTAAAAAAATATGTAGTCTCAGGGCTGGGCATAGTGGCTTATGCCTGTAATCCCAGCACTTTGGCGGGTTGAGGCAGGCAGATCACCTGAGGTCAGGAGTTCAACACCAGCCTGACCAACTTGGAGAAACCCTGTCTCTATTAAAAATACAAAATTAGTCTGGCATGGTTGCACACGCCTGTAATCCCAGATACTGGGGAGGCTGAGGCAGGAGAATTGCTTCAACCCAGGAGGCAGAGGTTGTGGTGAGCTGAGATCACACCATTGCACTCCAGCCCAGGCAACAAGAGTGAAACTCTGTCTCAAAAAAAAAAAATAATAATAATAATAATAAAAATATATATAGTCCTAGCTTCCATATTGCCACACAGGATTCATTGGTGAATTTCAGTTGAAAGAGAGTAATGTGGAAAGAGGTTGCTTGCCTTCCATCCTGGTGAAGATTCTGGAGTTTCATTTAGTTCTGAGAGACAGAAGGGTATGAGGTTTCACAGTAGACCTTTGTTCCTGTGTTGGGGGTGCCAGGAATATATTCACAAGTGAAATTGCTTGGTAGAGTATTTTGGCTCTTGTTTCTGGCTGAGTAGCCTACAAGCTTATTCTCTGACCTGGCCACAGAAGGTGCTATGGTTCACTTACCCTATTTAACACACACACACACACACACACACACACACATATGTGTATATATACATATACATATATATACACATATATGTGTATATACATATGCATATTTCCGTATACATATATACATATGCGTATATACATATACATATATACATATACATATATACATATGCGTATATACATATACATATATACATATGCGTATATACATATACATATATACATATGCGTATATACATATACATATATACACATATGTGTATATACATATACATATATACACATATGTGTATATACATATATATACACGTGTATATACATATACACATATATACATGTGTATATATACATATACATATATACATATGCATATATACATATACATATATACATATATGTGTGTGTATATATGTGTATATATGTGTGTATATATGTGTGTATATATGTGTATATATGTGTGTATATATATACATATATATAAGCTCAAATGTGTTGTATTAATTAAACAAAATATGTTCAATATATCTGCATTGAAGTTTACAAAACATTGCTGAGATAGACAATGCCCATTGATTAGATAACGGAATATTGTTAAGATGCTAACTCTTCATAAACTGATCTATATTTTTAATGCAATTTTGATCAAAATCTCTGAGGATGTTATTAATGGAAACGTTAAAATGATTTTAAGATTCGTATGGAAAACTCAAGAATCACTGAAATTGTCTTAAAATAAAAGAACAACTTTGAAGGTTTTATACTACCTTACCTCAAACCTTAATATGGAGCTACAGTTATCAATATAGTATGACATCAACATAAAAATAATTCAGTTGAAGCAATGAAACAAAAGAGAGTGTGTAACAATAGATTCATGTTTTTATGATTGATTAATTTCCCATGTAAACATCAAAACAATGCAAAGAGAAAAGTTTTTAAATTATTGGTGTTAGAACCAGATAACCAAATTTAAATCAATGAACTTCAATCCCTATCTCATATTATACAAAAATAATAATTTTTAAATGTCATAGTCCAAAATATAATAGCTAAAAATATAAGCCTAGAAGTAACTGTGGAAAAATATCATCTCAACCACGTTCATACATAATTTCTCAGGACACAAAAATAACCATAAAAAGGTAAAATAATATATTAGACTTTAACAATATCAATGACTTCTAACTGAAAGACAAAATTAAGAGAGTGAAAAAGAAAGACATATACATAGAAAATATTCACAATGTGTGTACCTAACAAATTTTTTGTCTCCAGACTGTATAAAGCACTCCTCCTACTCAACAACAAATAGACAAACACTCCAATGAAAGATCAGTGCAAAACCTGCCACATATAATATATAAAGGAAGCTTTATAAATGACCAATAAACATGTAAATACAGTGTTTGACATTATTGATTATCAGGGAAATAAATATTCAAACCACATAGAAATACCAGTATACATTCACTATAATGGCCAAAAATACCAAATTAATGAAGCAAAAAAACCCTGCAACAACCAAATGTTGGCAAAGATAAGGACTTGGGAAACAAAAATAACTCTCAAATCGATCTAAAATACAGAAAAGGAAAAACAAAAGAGCAAAAAACAGATGGACAAATAAAAACAAAGAGTAAGATGGTAGACCCCATAATATCAGTAATTACATTAAATTTAAAAGAACTAAATAGGCCAAGATTGTGAAACTAACAACAAGATTTCAATTATATGCTATACATTTAAAAACGATTTGAATGTTAAACTACGAAAAACATATGCTATGCAAACATTAATAGAAATTCCTTGAATCAATAAGAAAGAGGCCTATATTTTAAAATAAATACAGGGAATAATGAGTTTATATCATCTACCATGAAAAGCATTTAAAATAGTTTTAGTATCCAGTTTATATAATTGGTTAATATCAAGAGCTTTAAACACTAATTTTTCCCTGTATTAGGTAATAGAAAATAAGAAGCCTGACTTATTATATTAAAAGTAGAAAATCTTAATGCTTAACTATATTAAATCCTCAGTTCAAATGAGTTTATTTATTCTACAAACTAGATATATACCCTTAGGGACCTGGAAGGATCTAGACAGAAAATATTAAGTAAGATTTATTAATATTGTGAAAGTTTTTAATCTTTATTTTCTATCTTTCATTAGGCTTGAATATGCATTTTTTAGAATATTTTTGATTTTGATCTATACAATATAGATCCACTCTGTAGTATTTACCTTGCACTCTTGATACTCAGTATAGAATGCACATTTTTCCTTTCTTCTGAGTTTTCATACTTATGAACACATCAGTTTTTCCATAAAATGGTCAGAGCTATAGTGATGAGGGTACGCATTTTATAATTCTATGGAACAAACCCTATAGGAGAAAAAAAATAAGTAAATATACAGTTCGTGATATACAGGCTATATTTATCTAGAAGGAATTTTCTTTTGGGAATTATTAACTTAGGAGGAGATATTTCAAATTATTATACAAACCAAGTGTATTAATTCATTAAAATATTCTCAAATTTAAAACAATTACAAGGAAGGAAAGGAGGAGATCATACAATGGTTATGACTGATTTGTTTGTTTGCCTGTTACAGGAATCAATCAAAAAATCTTTAGTACAATGAAGTGGTTACAGCTCCGGCATTGAAACCAGGCTGCTATACAGCAAATTGTGCTAGATAAGTCATCTTAAGCAAATCATTTAGTGTAACTGTATCCATTGCTAGCCAGTAAAACATGACAATAACAGCATCTACCTCAGACTTTTCATGTGAAGATTAAACAATCAACATAGGTCAAAGCTTTAGAACAGTTGCTGACAAAGTAAATGCAAAAATAATTTTTATTTTCTTTTAGTAACCAAAAAAGAATGATTATTTTTGTATATTTTAAAATAGAAAAGGAAAAATATACACTTAGAGAGCCCGACATTTTCTAAAACATTTTAGCTCCTTATATCAAATTACAAATAAAGATTAAATACATTTCTATATTTAATAGCACATTAAATATTTTTACATAAAAGTAAAATAAAGTAATAATATCAGAGAACATAGTGTTTAAATAGCTAAATGACAATGGCCTCATCCAATGAAAATACACAAAGTTCCAAAACCACCATAAATGTAATAGCATAAACACCAGAGCATAATTTTATTTTTACTTTATGAATTAATTTTATTATACGAATAGTAATTTTATGATAATCTTTACCAAGTTTACTCAGACACAACGAAAATGTATTTGGTAAAACAAAGACAAATAACACTTTTTTACAGAGTATTTTTATGCGGATTTATAAATGAGCAAAATGTAATAGTTTTATCGCATATATAAAATAAAAAAATATATATAAAGAAGATAATCACTCTAGGCATGGATATTGATGAAAAATTTTAAGATTTTTTTTTTTTTTAACTACAGGCAACATGCGATTTCCACTCTTCCTCCCCAAATTCATTATCGCAAGCTTCGAAGAGTTGAAGCATGGCAAAGATTAATCAGTAACATTTAAAGGGAGGTGGATTTCAGTTTAAGACAAGACAGAACAATACTAAATGGCAACAGATACTTTGCTGTCTGTGGGCCGGTTCAGTTTATTGACTTTGCTGCACAAAAGATTTTGAGAGCAAGTCCAAAGTAAGAGTAGGTGAAGAAGTTTATTGCAAAGTGAAGGTACCCTCTGAGAAGCAGATCGGGCTGCTCAAAGCTAGAGACAACAGCTAGTGCCTCAAAGGGAATTCCCTTTATGGGAGCTGTTCATACATATTCATAAACACTGAAGTCAAGTATGTAAAGGTGGATCCGCAGTTGGCGCATGCATTCAGCATCTACATGCTCTAACACTTATCACATGTATAATTAGCATCTAACATCACCTAGGGGTGTGTTTTGAATTATTAAAATGGGGACAAGGTTATTATAAGCTAAATCTTGAACCTAGCTGTGTATGCATGACTTGGAGAAGTCTCTAGCCACTTTCTCTCCAGGCAGGAATTCATACCACCACACCTCCCACAGGAATTTGTAGTTAGTAGTGTCTTAGGATTTTGGTGCTGATTGGCTGGAGGTTGGGGAAGCTACATCAGGAATAAGGAACGTTTGTTCTCTTCCCCTGGCCGTTTAGGGTAGCTGGAACTTGTAACTCTCTGAGAGTCTGCTGGTATCCTGTAGGACTGCTTACCTTACAAAATAGTGAGGTGCTGAGACACTAGGGTGCAAACGATGCAGAACCTACTGGGCTTCACACAAGGGGAGAAGTCAGTATCACCTCATAACCTTACTTATCCTGCCTCATTTTCAGGAGTTACTTTACCATCTTTGTAATTGTTCAATTCAAGATAGTAAGATCACTTATCAGAAAGTTTTAGGGAATTTCATATACTTAGACCAGAGTAGAATTTAGCTAGATACCACCAATATCCTTTGAAAGAGTCTATTCTATAAATTTGATGGAATATTTTACAAAATCACATTGTCATCACAGCAACAGTGGTCATACCTGATCATTGGGAATATGCCTTACCATGTTTTACATCAAATATAATGTCTTAATTTTTTTTATTGCAAATTGGATAAAATAAATTGCATAGATACTGTATTAGTCCATTTTCACACTGCTGATAAAGACATACTTGAGACAGGGTAATTTATAAAGGAAAGAAGTTTAATTGACTCACAGTTCCACATGGCTGGGGAGGCCTCACAATCATGGTGAAAGACAAAGGAGGAGCAAAGTCACATCTTATATGGTGGCAGACAAAGAGAGCTGGTACAGGGAAACCCCCAACTGTAAAACCGTCAGATCTTGTGAGAATTATTCACTACCATGAGAACAGTATGAGGAAAACTGCCCCATGATTCAATTATCTCCCACCAGGTCCCTCCTATTAACACGTGGGAATTATGGGAGCTACTATTCCAGACAAGATTTGGGTGGGGACAAAGCCAAACCATATCAAGTACCTATATAGGCACTTACAAAAAAAAGTTAATGAAGTTTTACTTGTATATTTATCTATGCCACAAGGCTCAGCCAAGTACATTGTATATAATACTTACCAAAATGCCATAATAACAAATTTACTACTATTTATCATTATTTTCAACTTTCTATACCCAAATGAATACTAAAGTAGACAAGAGTTTCTCTTCATCACTTGCTTTCATTGTTGTTTTGTTTGGCTTTTTGTTTTTCTCTTATCTGCTCTCCCCTGCTCTGCTTTTCTCTGGTGCTCCACCCCAACATTTGATGCCCTATTTCATTGCGGTTGAACATGTCAAGTGAGAAATATAACAGATACAAGATTACTATGAAGTTTTAGGCAACTAAAACTAATCTATGGTAAAAACTGTAAGTAGAGTGGTCAATTTGTGATGACAATGAGACTGAGGGAGAAAGGGTTTGAGGAACATTTCTGGGATAATAGAAATGTTTATAAGGGTTTCAGTCACATGGGTATATGCATTTGCAAGAATTCATTGAACTGTACACTAAAGATGAGCATTTTGTCAATTATAACTCAATAAAAAATGAACTAAAAATGGTTTTTAAATACACAAAAATTAGGTGCTAATTTAATTATGGTATATGAGAAAAATACTAATATTCTTATTCATCAACATAAATTAAAGAAAGATAATGGCATCAAGTTTAAGAAGCAATAGCAACAAAATAAAATCTAGGTAAGATTGAATAAATTTATAGTTCTCATGTAAAATTTTATGATACTGTTATGACATATTGCAAAGAGGATATTATAATCATTAAGCTTTAATATACGGAATAGTTTAGCTTACCAAATACAAAGCAGAAATTGTAGACAATGAATTATTTTGAAAAAAACTGCTATATTCAATCTAAACTGAAAAAATAAGTTCATTTAGTCATTTATTATTTTTCCAGATGTAAAGCTGTCATTGAATTAAACAAATTTCCCAATAATAGCCTTACTTTGTGTACTATGAAAATTCTGTAGGTCAAAAAGAGAGACTCCCATTTTTTTAAGTAAGAAATCAAAATAGCTTTTTCATGCTTTATATATAAAGGACATTCGAAAGTTACAAGTGAAAATACAACTCCACATTTAAGGATAAATCTTCCATGCCTTTGCTCATTTTCAAGAGAATTTGAAGCTGACAGTCTTACTTTGAAGCCCTTTATAGTTTTAGATTGTCTTCCACGGTTTTTATAGTTTTAGGTTTACACTTAACTCTTTAATATATCTTAAGTTAATTTTTGTATATGATGTAAGGAAGGGTTCCAGTTTTAACCTTCTGCATATGGCTAGCCAGTTATCCCTGCACTATTTATTAAATAGGTAGTCCTTTTCCCATTGCTTGCTTTTGTCATGTTTGTTGAAAATCACCCTTATTTCTCAGTTCTCTATTCTGTTCCTTTGATCAATGTGTCTGTTTTTGTACCAGTACTATGCTGTGTTTGTTACTGTAGCCCTGCACTGTAGTTTGAAGTCGCATAGCGTGATGCCTCCAGCTTTATTCTTTTTGCTTAGGATTTCCTTGGCTATTCGGGATCTTTTATGGTTTCATATAAGTTTTAAAATAGATTTCCTAGTTCGAGGAAAAATGTCAATGGTAGTTTAATAAAAATAACATTGAATCTATAAATTGCTTTGGGAAATATAGCCATTTTTATGATACTGATATTCCTATCCATGAGCGTGGAATGTTTTCCTATTTGTTTGTATCATCTCTGATTTCCTTGAGCAGAGTTTTATAGTTCTCCTTAGTGAGATCTTTCACCTTCCTAGTTAGCTGTATTCTTAGGTATTTCATTCCATTTTGGGAATTGTGAATAGGACTGCATTCTTAATTTGGCTCTCAGCTTGACTGTTGTTGGTGTATAGGAATGTTAGTGATTTTTTGCACATTGATTTTGTATACTGAGGCCTTGCTGCAATTATTTATCAGGTTAAGAAGTTTTTGGGCTGATACCATGGGGCCTTCTACATATAGGATCATGTCATCTGCAAACAGGGCCAGTTTGTCTTCCTGTTTTCCTGTTTGAATATGCTTTATTTCTTTCTCTTGCCTGATTGACCAGGCCAGGACTTCCAATACTATGTTGAATAGGAGTGGTGAGAGAGGGCATCCTTGTCTTAAGGTGGTTTTCAAGGGCAGTGCTTCCAGCTTTTGCCCATTTAGTATGATGTTGGCTGTGGGCTTGTCATAGATGGCTCTTATTATTTTGAGAAATTTTCCTTTAATTCCTAATTTATTGATAGTTTTTAACATGAATGGGTGTGAAATTTTATCAAAAGAGTTTTTAAGATGAAGGGGTTATTCAATTTTGAAAGCCTTATCTGCGTCTATTGAGATAATCACGTGGTTTTTGTCTTTAGTTCTGTTTATGTGATGGATTACATTTATTGATTTGCATATATTTAACCAACCTTGCATCTCAGAGATAATGCCTACTTAATCACGGTATGTAAGCTTTTTGATGTGCTGCTGGCTTATATTTTAAGAAGTTAAAATATACATTAAAAATTTGGGGGGAAAACTAACAATGAAAATAGTAGAAAAAATTTAGTATTCAGAACCAATAATGGATGTAAAGTTTCACTTAATCAAAATGATTATGTTCTAGAGATCTGCTGTACATGATTGTGCCCATCATTTACAAGGCTGTATTATACACTTAAAAATTTGTCAAGAAGCTCTGATGTTAAGGGTTCTTACCACAAAAAAAGTTGGGAGGCACCTTTAGGTCTACTAAATTGTGGATATAAGAAGGTATCACTTGTAAATGAGGAAGTAGATTTATATTGTCCGAGACATACTGTTAAATAAGAAAACCAATGTGCAGATCTGCATACAAAATATGCCTTTATTTTTACTAAAAACAACTTATAGAAGGATATATTTAGACACACAGATGCATACACACACACACAAAATGTTGCATCCATATTCAGACAGATTTTTAAAAGGATAATGCTATAGTAAAATTTGTTTTTGTTCTGGGTGGTAGATTTAACAGAGACTTCCTACTTTCTATCTCTTAAGTGTATATAATGTAGTACTCCTTCAATAAACAATGGAAAAACAAATGAACAAAAAAAACCTACTGTAACAAAACAAGACTACAGATAACCAAACAGGAAATCAGGCAAAATACATAGGCATTTCACATAAGAGACCACAAGACTGCAAATAATCCAAAAATTTCTTAGCCTAATTTTTAACCAAAAATATGTGAATGATAATCAAAATAGAATATCATCTCACATACTCAAAAATAATTAAGATCAGCAAAAAATCTTAATTAATTAATTGACAAAAACTAAAAATGATGATAAAATGTCTTGACAAGAATGTAGATTCCAGTTGTGGGAATTGGCACAATACTGAGGAATTCAATTTAATGATGCCTGTTTATATGGAAGATGTAGTTACCTTTTGACCAGACAAGTCCATCTTTAGGATACATATTAGGTAAACTCTTGTATATTTATAAATAGTGAAATACTTAAAAAAGAATATTTATTACTGCAATTTTTACCATAGTATACAAATGAAAACAAATTAAATATCCATGAATAATGGCAAACAAAATCATGTTTTATTCATCCATAGAAGTGTGAAAGAAAAGGGTTTAGGGCCTCAAAAATCAAATGAATGAGTCTCACAAACATATTGCTAATAGAAAATGGAGGTCACATAAATCTGCACACTGTATGATAACATGTTTATAATGCTTAAAAATAAAAACTGCAGGAAATCATCTTCTAAAGACAAGGAAATTAGAAATACTACATATAACATCTCTTTTATCACTGTGATGGAATTGAGGAAAAATCCCAGATTCCCTCAATCATATTGGTGGATTTATAAATATTAATTTTATTATTTTTATGCATATTTACATATAGGTTACATGTGTATCAAACAATGCCTGATTAAAAGTTAAAATACTTTTTCTACCTTATTCATAATGTATTTCATTACTAATATAAAGTAGGATGACATATGCTACTATTTTAAGTTTTTCTAGGAAAACTATTTGAAGTACTTGATTCTTGGTACAAGATTACAAAAGTAAACCATGCTGACCCAAGACTAGCTTTACTAATACAGGGGGAAACTATAGTATTTAATTCACAAAAAGACTAATAAAAGTTTTATTTTAGGCAAAATGATTCAATTGAAAATAATAACATTAAATAGATAATCAAGTTACATTCAGAAAAATACCAGAACAAAAGGAAATGTTATACTAATTAAATATGTATATTTTTCTGTAAATCAGTTACTCTGGATAACTGTCAAGTATCCTAAATCTGGGGAGAATATGGCAAGATCCTGGATGAGGCTCATGTATCTGTTTTAGGCACCTCAGATGTGGGAGGTGCCCTACAATAAATACCTCCAAAAAGAGCAGGCACCAGAGAATGGTGATTGGTGAGGCTAGCAGGCAGAGGAAAAGCTGCAGGTTTCAGTGTGAAGATGTTGAGTTGAGGTCCCTTCCTTATATCCAAGGGGCCATATCTAATGTTTGAAATATTCCATTCTGAAATTTAGGGCAGCTGGAATATAAAGTTAAATTTTGGAGGAGTTATAAAACATGAACATTGAAGCCATGGAAGTCAGAAGACAGTCCAGGGAAAGTTTGTAGTATTAGGAGAGATGGGCATTTGGGAGAGAAATTTAAAGAATACAAGTGAAAGTTTGGAAAAGGAAATAGAGTTTAAAAAAATGTTTCTGCAAGAGTGGCCGAAGATACAAGAGGAAATGTAGGGGTAAGTGTGTGTGTGCGTGTGCGCACATGTATTCTTACCCTGAAGCAAAAAAAAAAAAAAAATTAGAATATTAAACATGGCCAGTGTAGCAACCTGTGACATGCTGCAAAGTGGAGAGAGGTGTTGACAGGTGACCGGATGGTGTGGCTGCAGGGGACGGTGGATGAGGTAGTGTTAAATAGAGAAGGATAGAATTTTCTTTTTTACACTTGAACAAATTGAGTATCTTTAATTACCATGGAGAAGTTTAGAAGAGAGGATATAAATAAAGATGAGAGTATGAGGTTAAAGAAATCCTGGGCAGACAGAATTGCATAGGAATCAGGGCACAAATGAAAAAAAAAATAGGTTGCAGGAGAAACATTTGCCCATTTATATTTTCCTTTTCTGTTTTTTTCTTTAGTTCTTGTTTTCTTTTAATTCTTTTATCTTTTAGAGAAAGTTGATCCAGTTCCAATCTAGTGAATTTTATTTTCTCTATTGAAGTAAGAGAAAGGTTATCTGAGAGTGAGAGGATTAGATGGCATTTAATAGGATTGGAGAAGAATGAAATAGCTAGTGCGGAGAATAGAAAATGGACCTCAATAGGGGACTTAAAAGGATTTTCAGATGGTGGTTAAATTTGGTTTGATACCATGGTCTCCAAAATATAATGAGAAGAGTCAGACAGCAAGCTTATACCGTGAACATATATGAACACTGAGTATTGGGAACTAAATTAGAAAAGAGGTCAATTCTTTATCCAGTTGAAATTTGATCCTTAGTCAAACTTTATTACTTTTTTATTATTAACTAAATATTCCCAGTACTCAAATGGCATTATCACCAGAAACTGGCTAATAAGAAAATAAATAAATAAATAAATAAAGTCATTTCTATCAACAATGAAATACATAAGTGTTGTACTTCCTTTTTACTTTTTTACAGCTTTGATAAGATAATGAATATAAAAATAACTGCATGTATTTAATGTATATGCAGTTACTGGTAAAACTCAGATACCCATAATACCATCACCATAGTCAAAGTAATAAATACATTCATCACCTCTAAAGGCCAAATATTTCCTTGTGTCTCCCTGCTTTTGTTTGCTTGTTTGATTGTTTTGTTGTAAGGAACACTTAAGATCCATCACTTTAACAATTTTTAAGTGCACAATACTGTATTGTTATCTATAGGCACTATGTTGTACAGCAGATCTCTAGAGCTTATTCATCTTATATAAATGTAACCTTGTAGCCATTGAATAATAATTTCCCATTCCCCCCAACTTCGTCAGTTCCTGTCAACAATCATTCCATGTTTTTCTTCTATGAGTTTGATTATGTTACAAACTTCATTGTATTAGTCTGTTTTGTACCGCTATAACAATACATGAAACTGGGTAATTTATAAAGAACAGAAATTTCTTTCTTACAGTTCTGGAAGGTGGGACATTCAAGGTCGAGGGGTCCACATCTGGTGAGGGCTGTCTTGCTGCATCTTCCCATGGCTGAAGGTGGAAGGTGGAATGGCAAAAGAGCATATGTGAGAGAGAGAGAGAGAGAGAGGCACCAAATTCATCCTTTTATCAGGAACACAATCACACAGTTACGAACCCACTCTGAAGAAAACCACATCAATCTATTCATGAGAGAAGAGCTATCATGACCTAAACATTGCTTAAAGTTCCCACTTCTCAACACTGTAGCATTGGGAATTGTTTCCATCACATGAATTGCGAGTGACACATTCAAATTAGAGCCCTAATGTAAATAGAATCATTTCACATTTATCTTTCTATGATTGTCTTATTTCATTTACATAATGTCTTTCAAATCCATCCATGTTCTTACAAATTGTAGGATTTCCTTTTATTTTAATGTTGAATGTGTACATACCATATATTCTTTATTCATTCTTCTGCCAATGAGCATTTCAGTCATTTGAATTGTTTCTATATTTCCCCTATTGGAAAGAATGCTGCAGTGAACGTGAGGACACACATATCTCCTCAAGATCCTGATTTCAATTTTTTGACTACATACACAGAATTTGGATTGCTGGATTAGAGTGTGGATTTTCAAAACATTTTTTGAGAAATCTTCATACTGTTTTCCTTCGTGTCTGCACCATTTTACTTTCACACAAACAGTATAAAAGGGTGCCAGGTTCTCTGCAGCCTCAGCAATACTTGGTGCTAAAATATTTTTGTTTTTTGATAATAACAATCCCGGCATGCATAAGGCTATATCTCACTGTGGTTTGAAATTTCATTTCTCTCATGATTAAAGATATTGAGCACCTTTACATAAACCTTTGGTCATTTGTATATATACAATATACATTTTGTATGTATATTGTATATATATGTATTTCTAGAAAATGATTTTTTTTTGCAATTTTTAAATAAAGTTTTTTTTTTGCTTGAGTTGTAGGAGTTTCTTATATATTTTGCATACTAAGCCTTTATCAAATATATGGTTTTCAAATATTTTCTTCCACTTGAAAGAAAATGGAAAGTGAAAAGGCAACCATTGACTAACAGCATTTCACTCTGTTAATGATTTTCTTTGCTAGAGAGTTTTTTAGTTTGATGTCGACTCCTTTGTATGTTTTTCCTTTTATGGCTTGGACTTTTGGTGTCATACACATAAAAGTATTTCAAGACCTATGTCATGAAGCTTTTCTCATATGTTTTCTTCTACATGTTGTACAGTTTCAGATCTTACATTTAAATCCAGTACATTTTGAGTTGATTTTTGTGTATGATACATAATAGAGGTCCACTTTCATTCTTTTGCATATAGATATCTAGTTTTCTCAACCAAATTTGTTGAAGGGACATTCTTTTTCCCACTATATGTTCTCAGGCCCTTGTCAAAGATCAGTTGATCATACATGTATGGTTTGATTTCTGGGCTCTTTATTCTGTTTCATTGGTTTATGGCTGACTTTATGTAAGTACCACACTGTTTTAATTACTGTAGCTTTCTACCATATTTTGTAATTAGAAAGCATCATGCTTCCAGTGTTGTTCTTTTTTCTCAGTGTTATTTTGGTTATTCGGGTCTTCTGCTGTTCTGTGTGAATTTGGGGATTTTCTTTCTATTTCTATAAAAAATGCCATTGGGACCGGGCATGGTGGCTCATGCCTGTAATCCCAGCACTTCAGGAGACTGAGGCAGATGGATCACAAGGTCAGGAGATTGAGGCCATCCTGGCTAACATGGTGAAACCCTGTCTCTACTAAAAATACAAAAAATTAGCCAGATGTGGTGACAGGCGCCTGTAGTCACAGCTACTCTGGAGGCTGAGGCAGGAGAATGGCTTGAACCCAGGAGGTGGAGCTTGCAGTGAGCCGAGATTGTGCCACTGCACTCCAGCCTGGGTAACAGAGCTAGACTCCATCTCAAAAAAATAAAATGCCATTGGGATTTTGATGGGAATAACATTGAACCTGTAGGTTGCTTTGGGTAACTGGAGGTTACACCATCTACTGCGGTCTGCTCCAGCTCCTAGGACTTATGAGGGCAGTTGCAATTCACGTCAGTTGCTGGGTGCCTTGCCAGCTTCTGAGAGCTACCTGCTCTTCATTCAGTTCTTAACTGCCCCTTGGAATTACAACTATGCCAGGTCTCACAGTACTCTGGATGAAGAAAGACAGGAGCAGCTCTCTCAGGCAGCCTTATTGGACACATCTCATCTCTTTCCTTCCCCTACAGGAAAAGTCTCAAATTGTGAGGATATCTTCTGGCTTTGTAATGTGCTCACTTGGGTGGGGGAGGTGCAGGCAAAGTGACAGTACTCTTCTTAGTGACACTAAACATGTTTGTTTCCATGTAGCTTTTATTGCCTCTGGGTTCTGCTGAGTTGAGGCAACTTCTCGCCTGAATTCTGGGGTTTCCACAAAGATATTCTGGTCCCTATGCAGTTGTTAAATCAGTGTTTCTGTGGTGGTGGGATGAGTACCAGGACCACCTATTCTACCATCTTTCTAATGTTACCCTCCTTTTCACTTTTTATAAGTGAATGCTTTCCTAATCTGTTTGCACCATTCCCAAATTCTTATATTTCTTATATCTTATTGTTTACTTACTATTTATTTAAATTATGTTTATATAAAGACATTCTTAAGCATATCATATATGCAAGGATATCTGTAAATAGACAAAACTTTGTCTTATCTTTTTAATCACATTGGCACACATAGGCTTTCAGGCTTTTCAACAGACTTTGTTGTAGACTCTATTTACGTAGTGTATGTTTTTCATAAATATTTTACTACTAATAGCAACCTTTGTAATCTTAGCATCTGTTCAATTAAAAAAATCATATGTGTTGCAATTTTCTGTACCTGTTCATCAAAACTGCAGAATGTAAAAGGAATTTGCGTAATTAGAAACAAATTAGCTTTTATATTAAACTACTGGAATGTGAAATTTCGACAGATAATAAAAAGAACATCTTGCTATATAAACATTTTCAGAAAACAAAGTATTTACTTCTCTAATTCAAGTGAAGATATTTAAATGAAGAATAAGAAACTCACAACGCTTCTTACTGAATTTTTCATTTATAGTCTGCAGATTTAAATTTAAAATTCCCAGGAAATAGAACAAAAATTCCCAGTACATAGGATCAATGAATTGTGTTTTGAATTGCAAGTTAAGGAAATACTGTTGCAAGTCACTGGAAATGCATAAGAGCAGAGGAACTGCACGCAGTATCATAGAAGATATATCCCAGTAAGTATAATATCAAGAATTAAACTCTTGAGATATTATATATTGTCAGGTAAGAAATAAGTGTTCTCAAATTTGGTTATCCCAAAAAAATTTTATAGAAAATTTACTTACATGAATATTTTAAGAAACTTCAGAAGTCAAATAAAATATCTGGTGTAAGAATGATAGTTAAAATAGTCATGAAAATGACTCCCTTGAGTTCAATACTTAATAATTTGACTCACCAAATAAATTAATTTCTGAAGGATTTTATAATAGACAACAACAGTAACAAAATCTTAACTTCAACGTTGTATTAACATTTCAGATTCATTTGAAAAATAAGGCTTCTTTAAACCAGATCATGAAATCAGTCAACTTCTAGAAGATAGGATTCCTCCACAAAATTTTAGTTTGTTTGTCTATACATTTAATTATTTATTGTCAACTATATTACTATATTCTATGTGCCACAGAAGGAGATGGAAATACTGAGCGAAGTTCTTACCTAAACTTTGTATCCTCATATTTAAAGGAACATACACTCCAAAGTAACAAAACAAGTATCACAGTATGCATTTGAACACAGCTACAGGTATAGATGTAATTCTAAGATAACTTTCCAGAACAGATATTATTTGTCTGTAGTTTCAAGAGTTGGCCACATGTAGAGGTCAAAGGAGGCAAATATAGAATATACAATGCCACCAGAACAGCAAAATTAGTTAATAATACAGTATCTTTGGTTAATTACAAATACTTGTCTGAAACATTAGAACTGCAAAGTCATAGGGGCTGAGATGTGAAGACATTCTCCTTTAACCTGTATTAAGCTAAGTATCAAATTGTGGCTTATTCAAAATGAAAAAAAATGTAAAAATCTAGAGGATATTTGTGTACATTTTTAATATTGAAATAATTATAGACACACTGGAATTTGCAAAAAGGGTGCAGAGAATCCTTTACTGATTCTCTATATTCCCACCAATAGTGACAGCTCACTTATCTATATGACAGAAAGAAAACCAAGAAATTGACATTGGTAAAAAACTGTTATTAAACTGAAGATCTTATTCAGATTTCACCAATTTTTACCTATACTCATTTGTGTCAATGTGTGTGTGATTCTTTAAAATTTTGTCATATATGTGTGTATGTGTATATATATATATATATATATATATATATATATATTTGTTTCAGCAGCTAACAAGCAAGAAAAAGAACTATTTTATCACCCCAGAGAAACTGCATTATACCACCATTTTTCAGTTGCACCTACCTCATTGTTCCTAGATTGTCACAGCTAATCTGCTTTCCATTTCAGTGTTAGGAAATCTTATGTGGAATTATGCAGAATGTAGCCCTTTTTAAATTTATTTATTTTTTGTATGCAGCCTTTTGAGATTGGCATTTTCGCTCAGCATAATGCCCTTGGTATTGATAATTGCTCCAGGTGTTAATACATTATTTCTTTTATTTTTGAGTAATATTTCATGATATGGATGCACACAGTTTGTTTAATCATTTACTGATTGAGGGACAACAGGCTTGTTTACAGTTTTTACAAATAAAGCTTGCTGTAGTTATAATTAAACCTTCCATGAATATCTGTATATAGTTTTTTTGTTTTTGTGTGAACATGTTTCATTTTGATAAGATAAAATGTCTGGGAATGTGATTGTTAAGTCATATAGTATGTGTATTTTAGTTTTATAAAATAATATCAAAACTATTTTCTGGAGTGTTGTACCATTGTAGATTATCAGCAGCAATGTATAAAAATGCAGGGTCTCTTTATGCTGGACAGCATTTGGAATTATAGTTACTTTTTAAATTTAAGTATTCATATATAGTGATAATCATTGTTATTTTAATTTTCATTTCCCTATTGCTTAATGATGTTGATCATACCTTCATATGCTTACTTGCCATCAGTACATCCTCTTTAATGAAATGTCTGCTTATGCTTTCTGTCCATTTTCTAATTAAATTTATTATATTTTTACTATTAAGTTTTAAGAGTTCTCTATAGATTTGAGATAGTTACTTTCAGTATGTGGCTGCAACCGATTTCTCCTGGTTTGCAATTGTTTATATATCCTCTCAAGAGGGTCTTTAATGAAGCATTTATTTTCAATTTTGATGAAGTACAGTTTTTAAATATTTTCTTTTACATATTATTTTGATGGTAGGTACTATGTCTGAGATTTGTTGAAAAGTTACCCATGTTTCATTTAGTCGTTTTTGAAAATTTGCCAAAATTTGCATACTCATACCTGTCTATTTCCACCTTTTCTACTCTTTCTTCGATCTTTTTGCAATACCACACTGTCCTGATTGTTGTAGAAACATAGTTAAGTCTTAAAATTAGGCAGTGTTTCCTCTCACTATGTTCTTTTAAACAATTTTTCTAGATATTCTAGTACTTTTTCTATATAAATTTTAGAATGTTTGTTGATATATCTGAAATCACTTGTTGGTATTTAATAGTAACTGCATAAAAACTAACAATCAGTTTAGGGAGAATTGACATCTTAACTATGTCAAATTTCCCAAAATATAAATATAGTATTTTTCCTCATTTATTAAGTTGATGAGCATTTTCGTAATTTTTCTGCATACCAGTCCTGTACCTGGTTTGCTAGATTTGTGTCTAAGCATCTCATTTTCACTGGAACAATTTCAAATGGCATTGTTTTTAAATTTTGGTTTCTACATATCATTGCTAGTGACGCAGGATTTTTTCACCTTAGTTCAGCTAAAATCTGGGTTCTTGTCCCACCACCAGGAAATTATAGGCACACGGATACATTGAAAAATGAGGAGAGCAAAATTTATTGAAAGAAAGCTCTTAGCAAAAAGAGGGGGCCCTGCCAACAGGCTGCCACCTCACAGATTGAATACCAGGCCACTACACAGGAGCTGAAGAGGCCAGGCTCCTCTCCCCTGCATAATGCACGAATTCCCAGTGGCTGCACCCCATTCTCCCAGTGTGCAAGCGGGGCACCAGTCCTGTGTGGGTATGCCCAGACAAGGCCCTGGGCAGGTTCCCTTACCTTCCTCCTGCATCTATCTATCTATCACTAGTATATTAAAAGATATTTGATTTTTGTGTATGTATTTTGTATCCCGTGACTTTGTTAAGTTACTTATTAGTCCTAGATTGTAAGTCTTTGTTATTCTCTATGTCTCTATGTTTTTTATATTACTTGATATGATCGTGTATTTTTTCTTCATTAGTCTATTGATGTGGTTGATTATATTGATTGACTTTGGAATATATCAGCAGTCTTGTATTTGTGGAATAAACCATACTTGGCCATGGTGTATAATTGTGATGTAAAATACATTTATTTACTTTTGTATGTTCCAAAGTAATACTTTAGAGAAAATGACTATTAACAGAAAATCTTATTTAATATTATTTTTGCATAGGAATATTTCATGTAATTGGTTTTAGTCAATGAGATCTTGCTTGCAATACTATTCATATAAATGAAGTTTCATATGCTTTTTCAAAAGTTGCTAGATATCCTATGTTTAAAATGTATTTTAAAATTTGAATTTATCTATATTTAAAAATATTTTATCTGTGTAGCCAATGAATATAGCTTTTTGTGTTAAAATTAAATAACAATTTAAATAAAAATTCCCATATTTAAACTCTACTTTACTTAAAGGATTAATAAAATATTTTCATTGCCTGAGCTTCAGAGTTTTTGCTTATACTTATTAATTAATCGTGATAATACTTTTAGGTAATATTTAAATAATATTTTTGTAATGCATGTAGGTTGAGTGCTAGATGTCTAACATGTTAGCTCATAGAATTTCCGTGTGGGTCCATGACTAAAGAATTAAAAATATTCATATTATTTTGTTTCTAATAGCTTTATTGCGAATAAAAACAGTTTAACTTGCAAGCATCATAAAGGGTAGATATTATTAGGCTCAGTTTATAGATGAGGAAAGTAATGTACACAAAAGTTAATTAATAGTCCATATTTGTACCAGTAGTATTTGCTGAAGTTTATAATTGAACTAATTTTTTCTTGTCAAATTCATTTTTCTTTTACTATCTATACTAATTAAAATTACACTTCAGTTAATCACATGATTGCACCAAAATTAGAACATTTGCCTACTAACTCAGAATAATGTACTCATTTGGGGCTGTTGTATAAGTTATTTGTTGCCACAATATTGCTGTGTAACAAAGCACTCCAAAATTATTGAGTAATTTAAAACGATAATTCGCTGATCAAAAGTAGGCTGTGGGGAGAGGTTTTTGTTGTTTCAGGTGGTCTCACTTAAGTGGCTGCTAATCAGCTGGGTGGATTTGCATCTGGGGGTTATATGGTTCTTGGCTGGGGTTCCTTGGCTCTCTTCCAAGTGACATTTATCATCCAGCACGATAGCAATGGCTTGTTCTCATGGTAAGACAAAAGAGGTTCAGAAGAGATTCTAGACGCTTGTCAAGTCCCTTGAGGCCTCGGTTCAGAAATATCACACTGACAATAAAATTAAAATTACTGTTAAAATAAGCCATCTGGCTCCTTCAGATTCAAGGAGTATCAAACTAGACTCTACCATTTAATAGAGATGAGGCGAAATCTGCAAAATTATATTGTAAAAGGCATGTAAAAGGGTTGTTAGAAAAATTGGGGCAGTCAATCACAGCTGACTCAACTCTACCACGTCTCAAGCTATTTATTTCCAAGTTTTATGTTATCACTTCAAAAGTATATAGTGACACTCACTCTTATTAAACAACTGGCAAATTTTTACCAAAAGCAAAAAACTGCAAAAGCAGAAAGGGTTGTATGATTTTGTTTTATAAATTAGTGAATTTTAATGACTACATTTTGTTGGGAAAATTGAAACATATTTTTGGTACATCATCATCATCTTTTTCCCTATGGAAATCGTTTGTTATTTTCCATAAGAAAATCACCTTATCGGCCGGGCATGGTGGTTCACTCCTGTAATCCCAGCACTTTGGGAGGCCGAGGTGGGTGGATCATGAGGAGAAGAGATGGAGACCATCCTGGCCAACATGGTGCAATACAAAATTAGCTAGGCATGGTGGCACGCACCTGTAGTCCCAGCTACTAAGGAGGCTGAGGCAGGAGAATCATTTGAACTCATTAGGTGGAAGTTGCAGTGAGCCTAGATCACGCCACTGCACTCCAGCCTGGCAACAGAGAGAGACTCCGTCTCAGAAAAAAATAAAAATAAAAATAAATAAATAAATAAATAAATCACTTTATCAAACATTATGAAGCATATATTAATTCTGTTCATCTTTAAGCTATATAGAAGATAAATAACACAAAAAGAGCCTGGGCATGTTAGACCCTTCAGATCTATGTTTGAACTCCAGCATTTTTACCAGTTTTGATACTAGGCAAGGCATTTATCTATTTGAGATCTACATTGGAGCAAACTAACAATTCTTGGATTTTTTGTTTATAATTTTCAACGGTTGAAAACTTAAATATAAATACCTAGGATTTTGTTTTTCCATCTGTACTGCAGTACTAAAAATGGTTTTACAGCTGTTTCTTGACATTTTTGCTGAGAAATTTTCTAATTTGCTTAACTTCAAATGTTGAGAATTACCTGAGTCATTCTCATCTCCAATTGTATCAGCAATCTCCATATTTACTGATTAACTATAAATTGCCCAGTATGTGCTGGGTACTTAAGAATTTATATAATGAACTGACTCAGATTTTTCAAACAAGCAATATTGTACGCATTAGTAATTATATATTTCTGTGAAAAAAAGTGATTTAACATATTTAAAGATAAAGTTTTCTATTTTTTGATATAAAAGAATTCAAAAACAGGGAGTCCATAGCTGATATACCATGAATGTCCCAATTTCTTTTTCTAACACCTATCATTTTTACTGCATTGTTTCTGTTGTCAAGCTCATCTCTTGGTTACCTGTTTTCTTTTGCGGCTTCAGTCATCATCTCTGTGCTTCAAACAGGAATAGAGAAAAGAGAGATTTCAAAAGGGCCATGAAAAAGTTATCTTTCTTCAAAGAGCTTCCTTGGAAAGCCAATTCAGTGACTATTCCTTATATCCCATTGTTCTTAGTAATCTTCAAATAAAGCTGGGAAATGAGGCACATAGCTGGCAATAACTCTGATCAGAGTTCTAATTCCAAGGTAAAATGGATATTGGATAGGTACTTTGTGCCCCAAATGCCAATAAACCAGTTGTGTTTAGGAAGATCCCAGTGTCTGATGATTTATAACTCTGTCTGCATTGATACCACATAAAAAATTCTAGTCAAAACTATGTTTGGATGTAGAAATTACATGCAGCACAACTTCAAGATTAAAGGGAAAGGGAACATTAAAGTAAACTAGAATGTACATTGTAAATGATTCTTATAAAGTTGGGTAGTACACAAACTACAAAATCATATGTAGCATTTCCAGATTTATCCTATTTGTCTAAATAAAAATTAAAGTCAAAATTACCTGCAGTTTTCCTCTAATGAAGTTTGTTATGGGTGAAACAAAAATATATATAGCTGTTTGAGCAGAACAGATATTACAAACAGTAGAGTAAGAACAGAAAATGGAAGTTTGAAAGTTTAGCTAGTTTTATAGGCAGTATATCTAAGACATGGTTAGGGACTAGAAATCTTTGAAATTCAGGATATATTAAAAAGAAGAAATGCTAAAGTATTTAAAATATTTGCCCCTAGGAAATTTCTGACATGTTCTTATGTGTAAGAAGCTTAACATAATACACTCAGAGTTACTCAAATTATATACCATTTTAACTTAAATTTATCACAAATTTTAGCTGTTCAGCAGATCAACTTTTGTACTGGATTTTCAGTTAAGGTTGTAGATTTTCCATTGCTGAGATTTTTGCAGTCAAAAACACATTATAGCTGTCTTGTATTAGACAAAGGCTATCACCAGCTTAATATTCTGCTCCGCTACTTCTGATCTACTAACCCATAGTGAGCATATGCACTGAGCAGCAAAACTAAGAACTGAATTTGCTTTTAATTACCTGTCTTTTTTATTTATTCTTCTGAAAGATATCTAGTCTGGTGGCTCCCTATAGGTCTTTTCTGTAATCATTAAGCATTTCAAAGAGCAGTGGGTTTATATTAAAAGTTCAATAGGGCGTAACTATTTCTCTTCATCTTCTGAGGCAAAATAATTCACTCTTGTTCAAGTGTTACATGAGACACCATTTCATTGAAGAGCACAGAAAATTAATGAGTTCAAAGGCAATTGAGCTATATTTTCAAACAGTAAAAGCAATGAACTAGATATACATTGTTTATTTTCTGCTCCAAAGGCATTATAATAGTACTACATATTGGCCTGTAAATAAACAAAATGACATTACAGTGACTCTCAGGTCAGCGAACATTCAGACCACCAAAATATTGGAGATGGTGGAGCCCGCCTGGACCAGAATGCAGAGGTAGAACATAGGGAGAACTAACACTGCAGATTCCCAAAGAATTATAATGAAAGTGATAAACCTAGAGTGTAAATAATTCATTTTCAATTGAAAAATAAATGGAAATATCTTCTGAACTCAGTTTTGAAGACTTTATTTTTGTGGATTACATATAGGGAGAATCCTATCCTAGAAAAAGGGATTATAAGGCCAGGCTCAGTGGCTCATGTCTGTTATCCCAGCACTTCGGAAGGCCGAGGTGGGCGGATCACCTGAGGTCAAGAGTTAGAGACCAGCCCGGCCAACATGGTGAAACCCCGTCTCTACTAAAAATGAAAAAGTAGCCAGGCGAGGTGGTGCGCACCTGTAATCTCAGCTACTTGGGAGGCTGAGGCAGGAGAATCGCTTTTACCCAGCAGGCAGAGGTTGCAGTGAGCCGAGATTGCGCTATTGCACTCCAGCCTGGATAAAAAGGGCAAAACAACTCCACTCCAAAAAAAAAAAAAAAGAAAAAAAGGAAAAGGGACTATATGGCTTGCTCTGGGTAAGGGGAATAAAATCTTTATTAGAACAAATGAGCTAAGAGTAGTCATTCCCTAAGAATATGCTTTCTGTACATAAAAAGTTTTTTAAATTGTATGAAAAAATGCCAAAAAAATCTCATTTTGATCAGGTCGATCAGGTCTTTTGAGACAATGTGATTTCTGTTTCTAATACTAATTAAGCTTTATTAAGTATACTAATCCGTTCAAATTATGCTACTGATTTTCAGAATACATTTAATATTTTCTATTGAATAAAGTTAGAAACAATTTCCTAAACCTGCACCTCTTCATTGTTGTATTAGTTTGTGTGCATATATGTATGTGTGTTTCCAAATTTTTCTAAAGTTATTTATTAACTATAATTTTCTAGAGCCACTAGGAATAATTTTGTACTTTAAAAAGGTTTCCATAGAGTTTATTTTTTGCTTAAGTTTTATATATAATAATTAAAATAATTCGGTAACTAGTGATAATTTAGAATAAAAAAGTTTGGGTTTGTTTTTCTTTAAAAATAGGTCTCTCATTTTTTATTAGTGTTTTTAGTTAATAGAATATTTATAAGACATATAAATATATATATTAGTTAATAGAATATATATATTATTATTTTTTTTTTCAAGAAAAATCTTGCTCTTGTCTCCCAGGCTTGAATGCAATGGCTCAATCTCAGCTCACTGTAACCTCCGCCTCCCAAGTTCAAATGATTCTCCTGCCTCTGCCTCCCAAGTAGCTGGGATTAAGGTGCCTGCCACCACACCTGTCTAATTTTTGTATTTTTTTAGTAGAGACGGAGTTTCACCATGTTGGCCAGGCTGGTCTAAAAAACAAGTAGAAAGTGGAGTTTCCAAATACCCTCTTATTTCATCTCATTCCCCAGTTTTCTGTATTATCAACATTTTCATTTGTGCTGTATATTTGTTACAATAGAGGCATCAATATATCTTATTATTAACTAATGTCCATTGTTCATATTAATCTCCACTCTTTGTTGTACATTCTGGTAGTTTTGGTAAATGTATAATAACATGTGTCTCTTAGATCAGTTTCACACAGAATAGTTTTACTGCCCTAACAATTCCTTGTGCCACCTGCTTCCTCCCCAAACTCTGGAAACCACTCTTTTAACTATTTCCAGATTTTTGCCTTTTCCAGAATGTCATATGCCTAGAATCATACAGTATACATTGTTTTTTAGATTGGCTTCTTTTAGTTAACAATAAGCATTTAAGATCTCTCTCTGTCTTTTAATGGCTTGATAATTAATTAATTTTATCCTTGAATATATTCTATTGTAGGGATGTACCGGAGTTATTCATGTATTGAAGGAAACCTTGGTTGCTTCCAAGTTTTACAACTATAAATAAAGTTCTATAAAATTCATGTACAGGTTTCTGTGTGGACATAAGTTTTCAACTCCATTTGGTAAACACCAAGGAGCACAATTCCTGGATTGTATTGTAAGAGCATGTTTAGTTTGGAAAGAAACTGCCAAATAATCTTTTTAAGTTGCAGCAATTTGCATTCCCACCAGTAATGAACTAGAGTTTCTTTTGTTCCACATCCTCACCACTGTTGGTGTTGTTGATGCTCTGGATTTCAGCCATTCTACTAGATGTGAATGGTATGTAATTGTTATTTTAACTTGCTGTTTCCTAATGACTTTGATGTTGAGCATCCTTTCATATGCTTTTTTGCCATCTGTCTCTCTTGTTTGCTGAGATGTCTGTTCAGACATTTTGCCCACTTTTTAATTAGGTTGCTTGTTTTCTTATTCTTGAGTTTTAAGAGTTCTTTGTATATTTTGGATTCAAAATCTTTTAACAGATAAGTGTTTGGCAAATATTTCTTCCTAGGCTATGTGTTGTCTTTTCAGTGTTTTAACAGTTTCTTTTGCAGAGCAGTAGATTTTTAAATTAATAAAGTCAAAATTATTATTTTCTTTCTTGCATAGTGCATTTGGTATGGTAATTGAAAAATAATCACCAAACCTAAGGTCGTCTAGTTTCCTAGGATATTTATATTTTTGCCTTTTAGAGTTAGGTCTACAATTGATTTAATTTTTGTAAATGGTGTAAGATCTGTGCCTAGATTTATTCATTCATTCATTCATTCATACATGTGAAATTATAGTTGTTCTAGCACCATTTTTTAAAGACTATTTTTTCTCCATTAAATTGCCCTTCCATCTTTCTTTGTCAAAGATCAGTTAACTCTATTTATGTAGGCTCATTTCTGAGCTCTCTGTTCTGTGCTGTTGATGATTTGTCCATTCTTTAGCCAATACCAACCTACCTTTATTACTACAGTCATGTAGTGTCAATCCTATGACTTTGTTCTCTACATCAATATTGTGTTGGCCATTTTGTCTCTTCTGCTTTTTCATGTAAACTCTACAATAAGTCGATACTAAATTTTTGGCAAAAAACTGACTTTGAAAATTTATGATGAAATTTTAATTTTTGTATTAGGATTCTTATGTTAATGATTAAAGATGCACTTTGTGTTTTTTTCAGTCAAAGAATATATCAGCTCTGCTATGAGTATAATCATATTGCTAAGTATATATATATGTTGATCATGTATTATATATATAAATCTTATATAATGTATATGTAAATTTAAAAAATACATTTTTGTTAAAAACATTAAATATAGCATAATGTCATTTTAATCAATGTCATTTTATTATAACATCTATGAGGTGAAAAAAATTCATTATAGTCCAGGGTTGCTGTCTGTGTGTAGTTTGCATGTTCTCTGCATGTCTGCATGAGTTTTATCTGAGTACTCCAGTTTCCTCCTACAACCCAAGGATGTGCGTGTTAGGTTAATTTGTGTGTCTATGATCCCAGTAGAGTGAGTGTGTATGTATATGTGAGTGTACCCTCTGATGGAGTTGCATCCTGTTCAGGGTTGGTGCCCAGTTGTACCCTGAGCTACCAGGACAGGTTCCAGCCACCATGGCCCTGAAATGGAATAACTGAGCAAATAATTATCTCACCTGTTTTTATTAATCTTTTTAAATGTATGTAGAGCTCATATTCATTTTGGTGTTTAATATTAGAAGTGTTTGGCTTTTATTTAGAAGTTTGTTGGTGTTTTGTGAACAAAATATGCTGCAGGAACTTCATTCTTATTTAAACAAGAGTTCTTGATACAAAAATTTGCAAAATTGGTTTCATTATACATCATTTTATAAAATCTGAGTTTCTAAGAACCTATCAATGATGTTAAATGAGGACTTACTGTATATATAAAATGATATATTCTTTATATATTAAAAAATGTGATAATTTCCTTGGTTAAAATCTGAAGCTTATTACATAAATGATGTAAAATTCAAGTCTACCCATTATAATGTACATGAATTATGGTGTCAGAGATATAGCTATCTGCTGTTATTATATCCAGATATGTATTCTTTGATTATTACCTCCCTATAAAATGGCATAAGTAGAAAGATTTTGACACTTCTTCCGAATTTCAAATTCCAGGATTTCATTTCTCTTTCTTCCTCTTATTTTCTCATGTAACATATGCTTTAAAAAAGGGATAAAACTGCAATAAAATTTTATTGCATTGCTTTGCATGTGTGTAGTTTTGTCTGTGATTTTTAAAGTCTTGGATTAACATCTCTTTAGAGTATTTACTAGAGAAAATCCATTTTTCAATTCTGGTAGAACCAAAGATTTGAGATTCTTAAAAAAAATTCTTGTTACTTTTGAACATTTTCTTGTTTATTCATGATTAAATATTTACCTTATGTTGCTTATATATGCTGAGGATCACTTGTTTTAAGTGTTTGACAAAATAAGAGGTATATCCATTTTGACTGACAAGCGATGATATTTTAATTAATTGGTGCTTTTAAAATAATTGATGACAGAAGAAAACGCAGAACAGCAAAAGGCAGAGAAATCTATAAGATGGATAGTTCCATATTTTTATTCTGTCTGAAAGAGAATTTTCAGTCATTGGTTCTTTTCTCATGAGAGGCTTTTTTAAAAATGTTAATAATCAATTATTTCTGTACAGTACAATCTGTTCTATCAAAGATACAGACAACAATAGGTTTGTCCTCAGTAAAGTGGCTGAAGTATGCCCTATTAATTATTATTTACCTGGTAAACAAATGCACAACGAATACCTTTTTATTAAAGGAAATGGGAATGCTGGTTCATGGTGCTTTCTTACTTTAGTGTGCTTGAAAATTCTTTTATTCTAGAACCTGAATATTCTATGCACAAACTTCTACCCCTCAAGGAAAAAAAATTGTCATACTGTGTACCTCTGGGGTGTGTGTACCTATGGAATTACAACTAAAAGAGAGAGCCCGGATTTTAACTCTGGCATGTTAAATCAAGAGCTATGCCTTACATTTTAAAGCCCTGCACACTTCAGATAAACTTAAATTTTTGATTGTTTTCTTCTTATTATTTTTGTGTTATAGCAATACTAATTGGCTTTATAAGACTTCTGACAGGGGTACAGAGATCAACTTAATGCTTCTAGTTGTATTAGACTCTGAAGTTTAACTGCTTTATTTGCTCAGAAATTTTGAAAAAATGACTGTTCTGATTAAAGCTATATGGTAAATAAGTGTATCACTTAAAATACAAACCATAGACAGCCTGTATTATAATAAATTTAAATCAGTGAAGATGCAAATTCTTAGATCCAAACCTAAATATATTGAATTATTTTATCAGAAGTAGAGTCCAGAAATGAATAATGCCAATAACAGTCACCATTATATATTCTAAAGTTGGATTATAATTGCTGTAGATAAAATTAAGAATTTCTTAGTTTTTCATTGTTCATCTTAAACAATTGAATAATAATTCCGTATACCAAAATTCCAAAAATTTTTTAAATGCATTCTTCTAACTGGGCAGACAATCCAGTAGCTTTTTCTCCAGCCATCCAATTATCCATTTATTCAAAACTGTACATTGATCACTTGCTATGTGCCAGATGTTACATTGGAAGTTAGAGATAGAGGTTCAGCCTCTGTGAAGCAATCTCTAATGTAATGATAACATATCAAATTATGAAAATCAATCCATAGTGGAACTATTTTGGTAAAAAGATATAGTTGAAGAGATGACAGTCATTCATTATCAAACATCTATTCCTGTAATATGTATAACAGTGCCTGTTGTGCCAGGTTCTGAATGGTATAATAAATGATTTTTACCAACTAATTTAAACCAAGTGTGTTGTTTGAATTTGGTTATTGCAGAAAAAACAGCGGGGAAGATTCTAATTTTGAACTTTACATATATTAACATGAGGTCTTGGAAAATTTATTTTTATCTGTATTACACATATAGTTGCACATTTTCTCTTTCACAGAATTGTGATGTCATAGACTATAAGAATTATTTAGGAGTGGATATTTTTTAAAATGATATGCTGAGTATATTTTATTGTCATTAATGTTAGTAATAATAAGTGATGAAGCATATTTCTCAAGTTCTGAAAGACTTTGGCATTATGCTAACCAATTATACTTCTTGTGCTTGCATTTCTAAAGCCCAACAAACATGGGGAAATGAAGAGAGTTTACCTTGAGGTTGTGTCTGTCAACATATTTGAAATATTCCTACTGCTATTTTAATCTTGCTACTGAACTCTGCATTTATAGAATCAATGCAATTCAACATAGTAATAAAACATTAAAAATAGTTAATGTTTTTCATGATCTATTCCTTTTCTTGATTTGATATAGTTATTGATAATCATTTTCTATTACCTTGTTAAATCTAAGGTCAATATTAATCTAAATTGAGATAAGAGTCTTATAACAATGAAGGTGACTAATGTTAGGGGTAGTACTTATAGCATTCAATTAAGTGCAGAAATTTCAGTTATAATAGCTAAACCTCTGGTTTCTCTGGTTTGGTGTTAAGTGTTAAAACCAGAGACATGGAGAGCTGAAATGGTACTGTATGAGCAAATTGAAAATGAAAAAGAACTGTAAACAAGTATTCAAAATGAACACTTAGAAAAATAAACATTTCAGAGTCTATTTTAACAATCACTTCTAACTGTATCCATGACAATAAGCTCCCCTAGGTTATCCAGCAACTTGAAATTCAGCATTCAACAGAGAAGAGAATAAGTGCAAAAGAATGCTCGATGAATCCGTTAGGAGTCAAACCTAGGTGCTACTGTATAGGCAATCATCAAAGAATAGTGTCTTCAAAATAAATTGGGCCAATGTAGCATTGCCGCTTTTATTTATAGATGAAACTCTTCTCAATTCTGCTCCCTGAGCTCTTTGCTTTATCTTGAACTTATTTCACTTTCTTTTTCCTACTGAAGTTCTGTGTGATTTGGCTTTATGAGAATTACACTCTTTCTTTCCATTGAGCCTGCTGAGTTTAAGGTAGCCCTGAGTTGCAGGCTGATGGGGCCTCGGAACAAGGAGAGTAGTATACCTGTGGGTGTCCCATATAGCAAATGCACAAAATTAAATAGTAAGTCATACTTTCCTCCCTAGTATATACAGAGATTTACCATCAATCTTAATTTCTTATCATTTTCAATTCTTCTAAGAATCTTAGTTTTTAGTTTTCTATTTTTCTTTTTCATTTGCTGTCATCAATCCCAAAACATTTTAATGAAAGATTTTGTTTATTAAGATGTGGTATGTTAATGTGCAGTGATTTGGGTCATTTTGTGTTGGTACATTTTATGTTAAAGTGGATTTGCCTTTGGTAGATTTTTCTGTTTGACTGTTTCCTAAATAAGGGTAAGAATTTTGAAAAGCAAAACATTTAGTGTTCATTAAGCAACATCTGTTTGGTATTTGGCCAAAATTTGAAATTTCAATATTATTGGCATCACCAATTAATCAATCCTCAGTAGAAACTTCAATCTTTTTTCATGGACTCTGAGCTTTGGGCAATTTATCAAGTGGTGCTCTCGTGGTCCCAATTCTATTTCTCACTGCTTTTTCTCAGCTTATCAGTTAGGTGTGATAGTTCCTTCAGGTACTCTTGTAAATCCAACAGATCACCATCATCAGTGTCATTTACTGACTGCCAGATAAATACTTTGCAGAGCATGGTGTAAACTGCTTCTCTGGGAAATCTAACTCCACACATCAATATATCTTTCTTTTCTAAAGTGGCACTCCAATATGTGCTACTAAGCAACAGTTATCTCTCTGACAGATCCAGTGTTCTTTTAGATACTTTTCTCATGGGTCATGCAGCCAAGACTTGAGACAAAGTTTTGTTATTTGTATTAAAAGATTCTTCTAGTGGACACAGAAAGTTGAAACTCAGGAAAGTAAATATTTAGCTAGCTTTATACAGTAGAAAAAAGTATACTACATAATTTTTAAGCAGCAGAGGGTGGACAAAGTAACAGATAATGTGAATATTTTTAAGGGTTCTGAACTTTGATTTATTTTTCATATTATGACTTTCTGTGTGAATATTACCTGTTGTTTCCAGTGAGTGCACAATTAGCAAGCTGTCTTGCTACTTGGCAGGGGTTATTCCTTTCTGTGCTGGTTAATGATGTACAACCAGACTCTGCTTTCAAAGCCTATTTCTGCATTCTGAAGTTTATGTTCCCTCTAAAATTCATGTGTTGAAACCTAATCCCCAACATGATTGCAAGTTCTGACATGAGTCTAGACAATTTGAACTTTTGATAGTTTCTCCCAAAACAATATAATGCATTTTATCAATTAATGGATAATATATTTGATCCCATTAATTTGCATAAATATTCCATTCTACCTACACTTGAATTCTATGATACCATAATGTTCCAGCTTTTACCTATAATCTTACATTTCTTTGTCTGCTTCACTCATTCCATCTCCTGGTTTTGTTCCCATCCCTTGCTTAAATGCTTATGCTAATTTGGTTGAGTGTAGCAGATGTGGTTGAAACCCCATTACCCCTTGATACTCAAGGGATCCATACATGTTTATATGCTTATTCTGCAAACTCCTACTACCTAATACCTGAGAACTACCTCTAGCCATAGAGATGTTTTCCAGCAATAGCATGGGCCATGTCAGGAGCACCAGGCAACTAACGTTCTTGAGGGTAGTCTTTAACCAATGGCAAGTGGGAATGGTGGATACATAGCCCACTTCCTTTATTTTTGGGAGAAGAGGGTCAGGGTAGATCAATTTTGAGGCACGTTATAGTCAACATTATCTATCCTGTTGTACTGTAATCTGTGCATTAAGCCACTCTGTATTGACTTTCTTCCTTTCCTTGTCTCACTTTGCATTCCCACCAGTGCTTCACGAGATTACTTACCTAATAAATAACTTGTACTAAAATATCTTTATTCAAAATCTCCTCCTGGGTAACCCTACCTAAAACAGTCATGTTATTTAGCTTTTTAAGTTTCAGTTAACTTGCTATAAAAGATGGAGGTAAAACATTGAACTACATGCTATTTGTATTAAATGAAATAAATTCTGTAAAGCATTTTGTATGATAAATATTTTGTACATAAGACATTATATTTCTTATCACCCATGTGAAATGATATTTGCTCATTCTAACTTATCTGTGTATTAACTCTGGGTTACTCTTTTTAGGATTTTATTTTCACTGTTTCCTCTTTGCTGAAATGTTCTCAGAAACCATAGATTTATGGACTATAAACCAAATGTGGCCTACAGATGCGGTCAATTTGGTCCTCATAGTGAAACAAGATAGTTTCCTTGAACCCTTTGCAGGACTTGCGACAAGGGTGGCTCCTTTACTAGGTCACCATGCTCAACACCTTACAAGAGGGAGCATGGGTTCCCACACCCAGTGCATACCAAATTCCTCCCAAGAGGAATGAGGTCACACAGATTTGCATGATAGTGAATGTGGAGATTTAATTGGGCAGTGGGAAGTGGCTCTCAATGGGATGGGGAGGTGGAAAGCGGATGGAATGAGAAGGTGGTCTTCCCCTGGAGTTTGGCCATCCCTGGCCAATCTCCTCTCCAACAATACTGTCTGATGTCCAGCTGCCTCTTCTCTTGACAGTCAGATGGTTCTTTCTTCTGTCCTTCTCTGCCATGCCATTCTGCTCCTCTGCCAGTGGAGCTAGTGGTTTTAATGGGTACAGGATAGGAGGAGTGGCAGACCATGCCAAAAGGCAACATTCCAGCAGGAAGATGGGGATGTGAGGTTCTCATTTAGGGCTGTGGGTCCAGGCTTGACGGTGGAACTCTCACCAGGGACCCAACACTTTTCTACCCAGTATTTCCCTGCTTCCTGTCTGTATCAGGTGAACAAAAGATTATAAGGTGCAAATTATTGTCAATATTTAAGATGAGGAAATTTTATGCTTGAAAGCCAGTATCTCTCAATTATTTTGGTAGAAAACAACAACAGAAAATCAAGAAAAGAGCCTGAGTTCTTGCATGTTAAGAGTCATTTGATATTAATATAAGCCACCCACCCACTATGGATATAGTACATGCTCAGCTGTTATATAAACAATAAGGTTGACAGTCAATTGTTACTCATAGTAACATTTGCTGCATTGTTGTTCCTTTAGAAATGCTAGAAATAAAGTGAAATATTTCCTGTAATTATGTCTATGTACAAAGAGGGAAAACAAAGAAAAATAGACTGAAAATTACCTTTTCATATGTTCATGACTTATTTGACCTAATAAAGTGCTTTGTCTTTAAAGAAAATAAAATGCCATCTGCTATATTTATTTTACCCTCATCTTGTACAAGGTATTTTAGTATAGACAGATTTTCTTACATACATTTTCATTTTGTCAGATCCCCCTCTCCCCCAATTCTATAGCACATGTTTAAATGCTCTTAAATTATACGTGGAATTTTAGGTAAAATATTTGAAAATGCATATGGATTTTAAGGGGTTTCATATATGTATTATGAAATTGTGTATTAAAGAAACAGATTATTTGGTAGTAGTGCAGCCTGGGAATCAGGCTTTATGGAGACTTCACATGGCAATTAACAGACTACTGATTTTGTGATTTTCCATACTTTACCTTGATTTTTAAAATTGTTTTTGTATTTTTTAAAAAAGAATTTTTTCCCATTCTGCAGATTGTCTTTTTATTCCAATAGTTTCTTTTGCTATACAGAAGCTGTTTAGTTTAATTTGGTTGAATTTGTCAATTTTTTGTTTCTGTTGCACTTGCTTTCAGCATCTTTGTCATTAAATCTTTACCAGGGGTTATGTCCAGAATGGTATTTCTTAGGTCATCTTCAAGGGTTTTTATAGTTTTATGTCTTACATTTAAGTCTTTATCCACTTTGAGTTGATTTTTGTATATGTTGAAGTATCTTCTGCATATAACTAGCCAGTTATGCCAGCACCATTTACTGAATATGGAGTCTTTTCTTGTTTTTGTCCACTTTTTTGAAGATCAGATGGTTGTAGGTATGCAGCTTTATTTCTGGGCTCTTTACTCTTTTCCACCGGTCTATGTTTCTGTTTTTGTACCAATACCATGCTGTTTTTCTTATTGTAGCCTTGTGGTATAGTTTGAAGTCAAGTAACATCATGACTCCAGCTTTGTTCCTTTTGTTTCATATTGTCTTGGCTATTTGAGCTTTTTTTTGTTGTTGTTGTTCCATATGAATGAATTTGAAAATACTTTTATTTCTAATTGTGTGAACAATGACATATAAATTTCAAACTGTTCAGTTTAATTAAATTAAATATGTAAATTGCTTTGGGCAGTATGGCCATTTTAATGATACTGAATCTTCTTACCTATGAGCATGAAGTTTTTTTCCATTTGTTTCTGTCATCTCTGATTTCTTTGAGCAGTGTTTTGTAATTCTCATCATAGGGATCTTTCACCTTCCTGATTAGCTGTATTCCTAGGTATTTTATTCTTTTTGTGGGTATTGTGAATGTGATTGAATTCTTGATTTGGCTCTTAGCTTTGACGTTATTTGTGTATAGTAATCCTACTGCTTTTTGTACATTGATTTTGTATCTTGAAATTTTGCTGAAGTTGTTTATCAGATCAAAGAGCTTTTGAGCAGATAATATGGGATTTTCTAGATATAAAATCACATTGTCTGCAAACAGAGACAGTTTGATTTTTCTCTCTTTCTATTTGGATGCCTCTTATATCTTTCTGTTGCCTGATTGCTCTGGCTAGGACTTCCAGTACTATGTTGAATAGGAGTGGTGAGAGTAGGCATCTTTGTTGTGTTCTGGTTCTCAAGAGGAATGCTTTCAGCTATTGCTCATTCAGTATGATATTGGCTATGGGTTTGTCAGAGATAGCTCTTATTATTTTGAGGTATAATTCTTCAATGCCTAATTTGTTGAATGTTTTTAACATGAAAGTATGTTGAGTTTTATCAAAAGCCTTTTCTGAATCTATTGAGATGATTATGCGATTTTTGTTTTTTATTCTGTTTGTGTGATGAATCACATTTGTTGATTTGCTTATGTTGAACCAACCTTGCATTCCAGGGATAAAGCCTACTTGATTGTTATGGATTAGCTTCTTGATGTGCTGGCGAATTTGGCTTGCTAATATTTTGTCGAGAATTTTTGCATCAGTGTTCAATTAAAGATATTGGCCAAAGTTTTCCTTTTTTGTTGTGTCACTGCTAGATTTTAGTATCAGTATGAGGCTGGCCTCATAATATGAATTTGGGAGGAGTCCATCTTCCTCAATTTTTTGAAATAATTTTAGTAAGAGTGGTACCAGCTCTTGTTTGTTCATCTAATAGAACTTGGCTCTGAGTCTGTCAAGTCCTGGGATTTTTGGCAAGCAGAGTTTTTATTACTGGCTTAATTTCAGAAGTCATTATTGGTCTGTTCAGGGATTCAATTTCTTCCTAGTTTAATCCTGAGAAGTTGTATGCTTCCATGAATTTATGCATTTCTTCCAGGTTGTGTGCATAGAGGTATTCTTAGTAGTCTTTGAGGGTTTGCTGTGGAGTTAGTGGCAATGTCGCTTTTGTCATTTCTTATTGCATTTATTTGGACCTTTTCTTTTTTTTCTGTATTATTCCTTCAAAGAACAAATTTCTGGATTCATTGACCTTTTGTATGGATTTTTGTGTCTCAATTTTTTTGGTTCAGCTCTGATTTTTGTTATTTTTTGTCTCCTTCTGGCTTTGGGTTTAGTTTGCCCTTTTTACTTTAATTCCTCTAAGTGTGATGTTAGGTTGTTAATTTGAGATCTTTCTAACTTTTTGATGTGGGTGTTTAGCACTATAAACTTCCCTCTTAACGCTGCTTTTCACCAGAGATTGTTGTATGCTGTATGCTTGTGCTCACTAGTTTCAAAGAATATCTTAATTTCTTGCCTTAATTTCATTGTTTAATAAAAAAATTTCAGGAACAGGTTGTTTAATTTCCACATAATTGTATAGTTTTGAGTGATTTTCTTAGTATTGGTTTCTATTTTTTATTGTTTTGTGGTCTGAGAGTGTGTTTGGTATACTTTTTTTACTTTTTATTTTTAATTTGCTGAGAATTGTTTCACGGCCAATTGTGTGGTTGATTTTAGAGTGTGTGCCATATCCAGATGTGAAAACTGTATATTCTTTTTTTGGGGGTGGAGAGTTCTATAGTTGTCTGTTAAGCACATTTACTCAAATGTTAAGTTTGGGTTTCAAATATCATTGTTAGTTTTCTGCATTGAGGATATGTCTAATGCTGTCAGTAGGGTATTGAAATCTTCCTCTATTTATGTGTGATTTGCAAACCATGCATCCAACAAAAGCCTAATATCCAAAATATATAAGGAACTTAAGCAAATTAACAAATAAAAAACAAACAACTCCATTAAAAAGTGGGCAAAGGGAATGAACAGACACTTTGCTAGAGAAAACATACAGGTGGCCAACAAACCTAAACAAATACTCCACATCACCAATCATTAAATAAATGCAAATCAAAACCAAAATGAGATACCATCTCATACCAGTCAGAATGGCTTTTACTAAAAGTCAAAATATAACAGACCCTGGCAAGGTTGCAGAGGAAAGGGTATGCTTATACATTGCTGGTGGGATGTAATTAGTTCAGCCATTATGGAAAGCAATGTGGAGATTTCTCAAAGAACTTAAAACATAAGTACCACTTGACTTAGTAATCTTATTATTAGGTATATGCCCAAAGGAATATAAATTGTTCTAACACAAAGACACATGCATGTGTATATTCATTGCAGAATTATTCACAACAGCAAATACATAGTATGAAGCTAAATGCCCATCAATGTTAGAATGGATAAAAAAAATTTGGTATGTATGCACTATGGAATATTACACAGCCATAAAACAGCATGAGATCATATTCCTTGCAATAACATGGGTGGAGCTGGAGGCCATAATCCTAAGAAAACTAATTCAGGAATAGAAAGCCAAATACCACATGTTCTCACTTATAAGTAGGAGCTAAATATTCAGTAAAAATTGACACAAAGAAGGGAACAACAGACATCATGGCCTATTTGAGGTTGGGAGGAGAAAAAGGATTGAAAATCTACCTATCAGTACTATGTTTACTACATGGGTGACAAAATAATATGTATACCAAACCCCATGACATGTAATTCACCTATATTAGAAACTTGTACATATACCTCTAAATGAAAAACAGAAATAAAAACATGAAATAATTCTAAAGAATAAAAATTGAAATTTAATAAAAAAGAAAATTTTTTCTCTGATTAGCAGCCAAAGATAGCAATTACCATTTAATATTAAATTATTAAAAGTTCCACCAGAACCAGTTATTAAACCTTTGATAAGTCTAACCAAGCTGAATTTCAAATATCAACACTATAGACAAAAAGTTTTTGGCATACATAATGTTTGAAATTGTGCACCAATCAGCCCTTCCTGAGTAATCTCCTAGATGAGCTTTATCTAACCAAATAATGAACAAAACTTCAGAAAAAGAACTGATGGTGAATATTTTAAAGTGCATATGTATATAAACATGTCATTTTAGTTGGATTATTTTTACTTTGTTACATTGTGACTTTATTACATTTATAAATTTCGGAAAAATTCTTCAAATTTTAAAAATGTCCAAATGTAGTAAAGTCACAATGTAACAAGGTAAAAATAATGCAGCTAAAAAAAAAACAGGAGAAAAAGGAGAAGGAAATAAGAAAAGCAATAAGCTACCATTGTATAGTCAATAAGTACAGTAAGAAAAAAATGAAACCTGTTATGAATTAATAATAAAACTATTAAGTAAATGAGACTTGAAAGGACATTAAATAAAATATATGCTCAAAAATACTTAGTAGAATAATGACATAAACCTTTCTTAAAGCCAATATTTAAAAATAAGTATCAAGGTATACACATGGAAAGAAAAAAAACATAGCAAACAAAACAAAATGTACATAATTGTAAAATATTATGATAGAGCTGAGACCAGACATATCAGTCATAATAAGAGATGTACATGGATTCAATTGTCCTGTTGAACAAAAGCAAGTTCAATTTTGCTCCTAAAACAAAACCCAAACATATGGTGTATACTATAGACATATGTAAAACAGAGTGATTTAGAAAGGTAAAAACTAAGGGATGGACTAATGTTTACCATAAAAATTGATGCAAAAGAGCAGGAATAATATCTTTGTATCTGACGTGGTAAAATTCAAAATCAGAAGCATTTAAACAAGGTACATTTTACTGCTAAAATCCATAGACCATAGGAATATATAACATTTATGTATATGTATGCATGAAATAAGATAGAAAACATTTATTAAGCAAAAATTATCGGGTACGCAAAGAGAAATAGATATAAATATACCAATGATGGGAACTTTAATACATTCCTCTTAGGACAAGACAAATTAAGTGGGTGGACAAAAAAATACATTAGGAAATAAAATTTAAGCAATGTAATCACTATCATAGTATACACATGTGTATGTATATATATATTTCTTTTTCTTTTTTGTTTTTTATTTTTTATTTTTTTCTTTTATTCTGTATATATTTACAACTGTATTATGTACATATATGAATAATAAATTTTATAAACTGAAATATTTTATCAAATGTCTGTAATCACAATATAATAAACTTAAAACTTACTAACAAAGACAAATAACACAGAAAAGCCCTTCCACTAATTAAATTGCAAAAACTGAATGACAGATATGCAGAAACATTCAGTACTATGTTTCAACATTACTGTAAACCTAAAGATTAAAAATATTCATGAGTTATATTATTTAGATTTTACTCTGTAATTAACCACTTCAAAACAATAAACATTGATTCATGTCACAATTCTATGGTTCTACAGAACCATAAGTTTAAGCCAGGCTCAACTCATCCTGATGGTGTTGGCTGGGTACAGTTATGTGTTTAATCACTTCTTGATCACCAGGGAGCTGCCACTCTGTAGAGAGGTGGGATGTTTCTGATTGGATAGATCTGATGTTTGAGATTGTGTCTTTTTCACGTGGTTTATCATTTTTCAGCTTGTTGGCTCAGGCTTGTTCATATGGTAGCAGTAGAGCTCAAAGGCAGTGTAGATTCATACAAAATCTCTTTAGCCCCTAGCTCAGAGCTAGCACTGTCACTGCTGCCACACTCCATTATATTTGCAAAAGCAAATCAGACAAGCCTAGATTTGCTGTGTGGAAATATAAAGTACACCTTGTGATAGAGGGATGTATCACGTTACATTGCAAGTGGCATGGACACAGGATGGACTGGGGCTTTATGGGCATCTTTGAATTCTATCACATAAGACATAAAGGCAATTAAAATCATATTAAGTATTTTAATAGTATATCTACTTATTTATGCATTTATTTAACAAATAATGAGTGTTTATTACATTCCAAGCACTATTCTAGGCATAGTAAAGTAATTTTAACAAGCCACAAACACTTTTTTCCTGTCAAAGTCATAAATAATAAAGCAATGTTCAGGCAAATTTATCTAAATAAGATTTTAAGCATCTGTGCCATACAGCTTCTGACGCTTCTCAAAGATTTCTGCCTCCAGATATTCATGACCTTGTGTAATCCCCTCACTGTTAGTTTGGTCTGGTCCAAATGATTTGCTTCTATGCCATAAAGGATGGCAAAGATGATAGAATATCACTTTTGAGATTGAGTGTTAAAAGGCTGGCTTTTTGTTTTTCTCACTATTTCTCATTTGTTCATTCAGATAGAGGCCAATTGCCATATTATGAGCTGTCCTAGGGGGAGAAACATCTGATGTGGAATTAAGAAAGACATCTGGCCTACAGCCAGTGAGAAAATGCAGCTCTTAAACCAACAATTTGGGAAGAACTAAATTATACTAATAACTACACAAGAGAGCATAGAAGTTGATCCTCTCTCAGTTTAACCTGATAACAGGACTACAGCCTTAATCGTCACCTTGATTTCAGCCTATGTGAGATGCTGACTCAGTGGACCCTCCCGAGCTATGCCAAAATTCCTGACCCAAAGACACTGAGAGATAATTATTATTTGTATTTTAAGCCACAAAGTTTGAGGTAATTTATTACAACTGAATTGGATAAAGTAAAACTATATCCAGAAAGTATACAATATCATTTTAAAAGGTAAAGGCAAGACACAATAAATGCATATTTTAAGTGGCTCAGTAGAACTATATTTTTGCAACACAGATAACAGAGTGTTAATATACATAATAATATGGTGTTTATTATTAATGTGAAATTTTAAAAGGGCAGTTGACAAAAGAACAAAGTAACAAAGAACAATAAGGCAATATATAATCTTAGAAAAAATTATAAAGTAATAAAATCAGGAAAAAGTTTAAAGAATTGGATTCCCAAACCATTTATCATGACAATGTAAAGAGTTACAGTCTTTAGGAAGAAAATGTGGCCACATCTATTAAAAATTAAAATCTATGTAGTCTCTGATACTTGTATTTGCTGTTTTACTGAAACCTAGTAGATGTACATATTTTCAGGGCACTTGTGATATTTTGATACATTCATAAAATGCGTAATGATTAAATTAGGGTAATGGGAATATCTATCACCTTTAACATGTTTATTTTCTTTATGCTGGAAATATCTGAATTTTTCTTTTTTTATCTATTTTGAAGTATACAATAGAATATTAGTAACTACAGTTCACCTTACTAAAATATCAAGCACTAGGTGTTATTCTTTCTATACATCTGTATTTTTGCACCTATACTCAATGTCTCTTCATCTGTCCCTCCCCACTCTCTTCCTGGTCTCTGGTAGCCACCAATCCACTCATTACTTCATAAGATCCACTTTTTAAGTTCTCACATATGAATGAGAACATGCAATATTGTGTTCTTGTGCCTGGCTTATTTCACTTATAATGACCTCCAGTTCTATCTATGTTGCTGCAAATAACATGATTTCATTTTTTAATGGCTGAATAAAATTCCATTATGTATATGTACTAAATTTTCTTTATTCATTCATTGATGGACACTTAATTCCATATTTTTGTTTTGGTAGTACAGCTATTTTGGTAGCATAGATATTTAAACAATATTAGTTGTTCAATCCAAGAATGTAAAATGTCTTTCTGTTTTTTTGTGTGTGTCTTTTTCAATTTCTTTCAACTATGTTTTACAGTTTTCCTTGTAGAGATCTTTCACTTCTTTGGTTAAATTTATTCCTAGAGTTGTTATGGTTTTTTTTTGTAGCTATATAAAATGAGATTGTTTTATGTATTTTTTTCAGATTGCTCCCTATTGTCATATATAAAAGTTTCTGTTTTTATATGTTGATTTTGTATCAGGCAAGTTTATTGAATTTGTTTACAAATTCTACATTTTTTTAGGTGAAGTCTTTAGGTTTCTCTAAACATAAAATTATTTACAAACAAGGATAATTTTACTTTTTTTTTTCAATTTGGATGTCATTTATTTCTTTCTCTTGCCTATTGCTCTGGCTAGGACTTATAGTATTATGTTGAGGAAAAGTGGTAAAAGTGGGCAATCTTGTCTTGTTCCAGATCATAGAGGAAAGACTTTCAATCTTTACCCATTTATTATGTTAGCTGTGGATCTGTCATATATGTTCTTTATTGCTTTGAGGCTTGTTTTTAGAATTAATTTGTTGAGTTTTTATCATAAAGGAATATTGAATTTTACTGAACACTTTTAAAACATCTATTGATATAATCATATAATTTTTTTCTTGGTTCTGTTAATGTGATATATAATACTTATTGATACTGATGTGTTGAATCATCTTTGCATCCCTGGGATGAAGCCTACTTGATCGTGGTAAATGATGTTTTTTGATTTAGTAGTATTTTATTGACAACCTTCGCATCTATGTTTATCAGGGATATTGTCCTGTAGTTTTCAGTTGAATCTTTATCTGATTTTAATATCAGGGTAATGCTGACCTTATAGAATAAATTTGGAAGTATTCCTTCCTCTTTAATTTTCTTGATATTTTGATAGAACTGGTATTAGTTCTTCGTATGTTTGGTAGAATTCAGAAAAGCCTTCAGGTGTTAGGCTTTTCTTTTCTTTTTTTTTAATTATACTTTAAGTTCTAGGGTACATGTGCATAACGTGCAGGTTTGTTACCTATGTATACATGTGCCATGTTGGTGTGCTGCACCTGTTAACTCATCATTTACATTAGGTATATCTCCTAATGCTATGTCTCCCCGCTCCCCCCATCCCAGGACAGGCCCCGGTGTGTGTGATGTTCCCCACCCTGTGTCCAAGTATTCTCATTGTTCAATTCCCACCTATGAGTGGGAACATGCGGTGTTTGCTTTTCTGTCCTTGTAATAGTTTGCTGAGAATGATGTTTTCCAGCTTTATCCATGTCCCTACAAAGGACATGAACTCATCCTTTTTTTATGGCTGCATAGTATACCATGGTGTATATATGCCACATTTTCTTAATCCAGTCTATCGTTGATGGACATTTGGGTTGGTTCCAAGTCTTTGCTATTGTGAATAGTGCTGAAATAAACATATGTGTTCATGTAGGTGTTAGGCTCTTCTTTGATGAAAGACTTTTTATTATGGCTTAGATTTTATTACACATTAATGGTCTTTTTAAAATTTCTTCATAATGCAATCTTGATAGATTGAAAGTGTTCAAAAATTATCTATTTCTTCTATATTTTCTACTTTGTTGGTATGTAGTTGTTCATAATTATCTCTAATAATTTTTTGTATTTTTTTGGGTATCAGTTGTTACGTCTCCTTTTTCTAACTTTATTTATTTGGGTCTCATCTCTAGAAGGTATGTCAAGTTTTATCTTTTCAAAAAAGCACATTTTTATTTACTTATCTTTTGTATTTTTTAAGTTTAAATTTCATTTATATCCACTCTGGTTTTTATTATTATGGAATTGTATTTTATCTCTCCCAATAGCTCTACAAATACTTGCCTTATATATTTGTCTACTCTGGTATTGGGTGCATAGATATTTAAAATTGTTATATCTTCTTGCTGAAGTGACTCCTTTATCATTATACAGTGATCTTTTATTTATTAATTTTTTTACTGTCTTTGGCTTGTAGTTTGTTTTATCTGATATATAGATATAGCTATAGATAGTTATATAGATATTCCTGTTCTTTCTTGGTTTTCATTTCATGGATTATCTTTTACATTCTTTCACATTTAAGTGTGCGTCTTTATAAGTGAAGTGGGTTTCTCATAGGCAGCAAGTTGAATCTTGTTTTTTTTTAATTCAGTCACTCTATGTTTTTTCATTGGATAATTTAGTTTATTTATTTTCAATGCTATTATCGATAGGTAAGGATGTACTACTGTCATTTGGTTACTTGTTTTCTGGTTGCTTTATAACTCATCTCTTTCTTCCTTGCTGCCTTTTCTCTTGGTTAAGTACAATTCTCTGGTAATATGTTTTAATTTGCTGCTTTTCATTTTAAAATATCTATTGTAGGTTTTTGCTTTGCAATTATCATGAGGCTTACCAAAACCATCTAATAGATATAACAAGTTATTTTAAACAGAGGACAACTTATCTTTGATCACAAAGAAAATAACAGAAATGGGCGGGGTGTGGTGGCTCACGCCTGTAATCCCAGCACTTTGGGAGGCCAAGGAGGGTGGATAACGAGGTCAGGAGATCCAGACCATCCTGGCTAACATGGTGAAACTCCGTCTGTACTAAAAATAAAAAAATAAAATAAAAAATAAAAAAATTAGCTGGGCGTGGTGGCGGGCACCTGTAATCCTAGCTACTCAGGAGGCTGAGGCAGGAGAATGGTGTGAACCTGGGAAGCAGAGCTTGCAGTGAGCCATGATCGCGCCACTGCACTCCAGCCTGGGTGACAGAGCGAGACTCTGTCTGAAGAAAAAAAAGAAAATAGCAGAAATGAACAAAGAAAAAACTAAAAATAACTCTAGAGTTTAACTCCATCCACCTTCACATTGTATCTTTTTGTCATCTCAATTTATTTCTTTTCATATTGCCGTTCTATTAATATCTTAGCTATTATTGCTTGTGATAGAATCATCTTTTCATCTTCATCCTAGAGATATGAGTGTACTGTACAACATAATTACAGCTCTAGAATAACCTGAGTTTTTATACTCATTTTACCAGTTGATTTTACATCTTTCAATGTTTTCTTTTTGTATGTTAGTGTCTTTCTTTTCAGATTTAATATTTATCTTTAGAATTCCTTGTAAGAGAGGTCTGGTGGTATTACATTTCCTCATGTTTATGTTAAAAACTTAATAACTCCTCCATGCTTGAAGGATAGTACAGTGTTCTTGGTTAGCATTTTTTATTTTTTCTTTCAGAACTTTGAAAACTTCATCCCACTTGCTCCTGACCTGTATGGTTTCCATTGAGAACTCCAATGCCTAATGAATTGAAGCTCTTTTATATAGTATTTGCTTCTTTTCTCTTACTGCTTTCAAGATCATCTCTTTGCTTTTGTCCTTTGAGAGCCTGATTATTATATATTTTGGGTTAGTCTTATTTGGGTTGAATTTGTTTGGTGATCTCTGACCTTTCTGTACCTGAATATTTATATATTTCTCAAATTTTAGAATGTTGTCAATTACTATTTTATTGAATAAGACTACTCCTGGCTCCTTTACAACTCCCTCTTGGACATCAACAATTCTTAGATTTGCTCTCTTGAGGCCATTTTCTATATCTTGTAGGTGTTCTTTATTCCTTTCCATTCTCTTTTCTTCTTTCTCCTCTGAGTGTCTTTAAATACCGTTTTCAACGTCATTGATTTTTTTCCTTGTTTTATCCATTCTACTCTTAACAGCTTCTAATGCATTTTTCTGTTCAGCAAATATACTTCTCAGCTGCAGGCTTTCATTCGATTTTTTAAAATTTTTATCTCCTTGTTAAATTTCTCTGATAAATTTCTGAATTGCTTTTCTTTGTTATCTTGAAGTTCACAGAGTTTCCTTAAGATTGCTGTTTTGAATTCTCATCAGAGAACTCATACATCATCATCTTCTTAAGGTTAGTTACTGACTTCTTGCTTTGTCCTTTTGGGAAAGTCATGGTTCCCTCTTGGCTGTTGCTTCTTATGGATATACTTCTATGTCTTTACATTGAAGCATTAGTTATTTATGCCAGTCTTTTCTGTCTTTTTAAATTTTTTCTTGCATATGTTTTCTTTGAGAACCCTTGTAGTCTACCTGTTGAATATATTTTACACTTGTTCACTACCTTCTTTTAAGTAATAGATCGTGCTTTAAACCCAATATCACCTCTAGCAAAATATTGGGACATTGCCCATCCTGTATAGAGTAGGTCACCAAAGGGATATCCAAGCTGTGTGGTGGAAGGCTGACTAGGGGTTTGTGCCCGGGAAATCCATGAAACATGCCCCTTACAGCGTAGTGCCACTAAATTGCCGCTCTGATTTGGTATCTTTTTTGGCCTGGATAAAAGCAGATTTTATGGGCTTGAGATGTAGTCCCGCTCCCACTTTTTGAGTCTGGCTGCCTTCAGGTATTTTTTTTTTTTCCCCTCACTTAAGGCACTCGTGACACTTCCTGTATATGAAGGAAGAGCAGCTCTCCCGTAAGGAAATCCAAGATGATGAGGAAGCTGATTGTCCATCTTGATCTCATTTTTTCAGTGTTGAAACTGAGTCTGGAGGAAATTGTCTGCACTCACTGTGCCTGTTTGGGGGAGGGGCATTGTGAATCTAGAAGTCTGATGCTCTTACTATCAGCTGAGAGTGTTCTTTTTGCTTGTTTGCTTCTTTTCACTTCTTTGTGGTTCCAGGAACTGTCTCATCCTCAGATCTGAGTGCTGGGATATTGCTGATGGCAATACTGGTGTTGCATATGTGTTTGTTGTTTACTGAGTGCATGGTGGTAAAGCAAGCCTACTTCTAGTCTGCCATTTGGGTGACATCACTCTGATTCTTAATACTTGTTCTAAAACTATAAATTTGTATATATGAATATGTCTTCATTGTAGAGTTATTTAGGTAACAAAATATATAGAACAACATAATGGTCTATCAGTTGAGAAATGGTTAAGTCAATAAAGACAGCATACTTTTATAGTGAAATATTGTGCCGCTATTGAATAATGAGTTATAATGTGGATAGGTTATTTTGTGAAAACAATCATTTCCAAAATTATAATTCAAGGTAGTATCTGACATGTCACAAAAAATACAAAACTGCCAGAGAGAAAAAGGCTTCATTTCTAAATGGAATATAATTTTTAGGGGACATTCAGATAACATTGCATCTTTAAAAAATTTCCTCTGCCCTCTGAAATTAGTCATTATCTCTTTGGAGAAATAGAATAGAATTTTAGGCAATAAAAAGAGTTGCATAGAACAATGTTCTTACATCTTAATATGAAATTTAAAATACGTATTTAAAACTTTATTGAAGGCAATTCACTTAACATATGAACACTTCTGAAACAAAATTACTACTGTATAATAGCTGTCTGATGAGATAATTTTTCTGTTATTTTGTAAGTGGGTAATTCTGTAAATGCAGTGACATTGAAAACCCATGTGGAAAGCAGGCAAAGGATTTTTGATTTAGATAAAAGTAATTCTTTTCAATTATAATATTAAAGAATTGCCATTGCTCAAAAAAATTGGAAAAATTTCTCATAAAGCTTGTGAGCTCTATATTTTCATTTACTTCTTAACTGAATAACATTGAAAATAAAAAAAGTAATGTTTTGTCTATGAATGTTAACAAAATTGGTTACTAAATAGTTGTGGCAATCTATCTAATTGTGATTTTATCCATACAGAAAGATTAAATAGGACATTTAAGCATTATATGTGTAATTCATTTTCATCTTACTTCAGTTGAAATGAGTGATTGAAATTAGTCTTTCACCAGGTAATACAAAAACAATTTCTGTCTATGAAACAGATTTTATGATTTTTTTCTCCAGAAACAGATTTTCCAGGGTAATTACACTTTGCTAATGCATATTGTGAAATTAATTTTATTACTTCAAATACCTGCCAACTGATAGGGAAAAATTAAAGGTAGAAAGTCCATATGAGGGGCAGAGCAAGATGATCAAATAAAAGCCTTTATAAATCATCTCCACCACAAGAACACCAAATTTTAATAACTAACTACACATTAAAAATCATCATCATAAGAGTGAAAAATGAAGTGAGCAATCACTGTACCTGGTTTTGACTTCATATCACTGTTAAGAGGCATTAAAGAAGGTAGACAATACAGTCTTTTTTTTTTTATCTTTTATTTTAGGTTTGGAAGTACATGTGAACGTTTGTTACACAGAGAAACACAGTGTCACAGGGGTTTGTGGTACACATTATTTCATCACTCACGTGTTAAGGCCAGTACTCAATAGTAATTTTTTCTTCTCCTCTCCCTCCTCCTGCCCTCTTGCCTCAAGCAGACCCCAGTATCTGTTGTTTCCTTCTTTGTGTTCATAAGTTCCTATCATTTAGCTCCCACTTATAAGTGAGAACACATGGTATTTGGTTTTCTGTTCCTGCATTAGTTTGCTAAGAATAATAGCCTCCAGCTCCATCCATGTTCCTACAAAAGACATCATATCATTATTTTTTATGGCTGCATAGTATTCCATGGTATATATGTACCACATATTCTTTATTCAATCTGTCATTGATCGGTATTTAGGTTGATTTCATGTCTGCTAGTGTGAATAGTGTTGCAATGAACATTCACATGCATTTATATTTTTGTTAGAATGGTTTATATTCATTTGGATATATGCCTAGTAAAGGGATTGCTGGATTAAATGGTAATTCTGATTTTATGTCTTTGAGGGATGACCATACTGATTGCCACAATGACTGAAGTAATGTACACGCTCACCAAGAGTGTATAAGTGTTCACTTTTGTCTGACACCTCATCAGCATCTGTTATTTTTGAGTTTTTAATAATAGCCACTCTGATGGGTGTGAGATGGTATAAATTAAATTCCTAGGAATTAACCAAAGAAGTGAAAGATCTCTACAATGAAAACTATAAAACACTGATGAAAAAAATTGAAGAGGGCATCAAAAAATGGAAAAATATCTCATGTTCATGAATTGGAAGAATCAATATTGTTAAAATGTCCGTGCTATGCAATCTACAGATTCAATGCAATTCCTGTCAAAACATCAATGATATTCTTCATTCATAGGAAAAACATCCCTAAAATGTATATGGAACCACAAAAGATCCAGAATAGTCAAAGCTATCCTGAGAACAAAACTGGAAAAAATCATATTACCTGACATTAAATTATCCTACAGAGCTATAGTAGAAAAAAAAATGGTACTGGCATAAAAACAGACTCATAAAACAGAATAGAGAACCCAAAAGCAAATCCATATATTCACAGTGAACTTATTTTCAACAAAGGTGCCAAGAACATACACTGGGGAAAAGGGAGTCTCTTCAATAAATGGTGCTGGGAAAACAGAATATTCACATGCAGAAGAGAGTAACTAGATGTCTAATTCTCACTATGTTCAAAAATCAAATCAAAATGTATTAAAGACTTAAGTCTAAGACCTTCAACTGTGAAACTATTACAAGAAAACATTGGGGAAGCTCTCTAGAACATTGGCCTGGACAAAAATTACTTCAGTAATATGCGATAAACACAGGCAACCATAACAAAAATGGTCAAATGGAATCACATTAAGTTAAAAAGTTTCTGCAGAGCAAAGGAAGCTGTCAAAAAAGTGAAGAGACAACCCATGGAATAGGAGGAAATATTTGCAAACTACCCATATGGCAAGTGATGAATAACAAAAATACATAAGAAGCTCAAATAGCTCTATAGGAAAAGTATCTCATAATTCAATATAAAATGGGCAAAAGACCTGAATAGATAGTTTCTAAAGAAGACATACAAATGGCAAAGAGGCATATGAAAAAGTACTCGACATTGATTATCAGACAAATGAAAATCGAAGCTACAATGAGATATCATCTCACTCTAGTTTAAATGACTTTTATCCAAAGACAGGCAATAAGAAATGCTGGCAAGGATGTGGAGAAAATGAAACCCTCATAGTCTGCTGGTGTGTATGTAAATTAATATAACCCCTATGATAAACTGTTTGGAAGTACCTCTAAAAACTAAAAATAGAGCCACCATACAATCCAGTATTCTTACTGTTGGGTATACACCCAAAAGAAGGAAAATCAGTATATTGAAGGGATATCTGCACTTCCATGTTTCTTGCAACACCGTTCACAATATCCAAGATTCGGAAGCAACCTAGCCATCCATCAGGAGGTGAATGAATAAGGAAGATGTGATACATTTACACAATGGAGCACTCTTCAGCCATAACAAAGAATGAGATCCTGTCATTTGTGACATGAATGAAACTAGAGGTCATTATGTTAGGTGAAATAAGCCAGGCACAGAAATACAAACATCACATGTTCTCACTTATTTGTGGGAGGTAAAAATTAAAACAAATGAACTCATAGAGATAGTGAGTAGAAGGAAAGTTACAAGAGGCTGAGAAGGGTAGTGGGCGGGGGGCTTGGGGAGGAGATGGTTAATGGGTACAAAAAGTAATTAGGAAGAATTAATAAGACCCGATATTTGATAGCACAACAGGATAACTACAGTTAATAATAATTTAATTGCACATTTTTAAATAACTAAAAGAGTATAATTGGATTGTTTATAACATAAAGGGTAAATGCTTGAGGGGATGGATACTCCATTTACCATGATGTGATTATTACACATTGCATGCCTGTATCTAAGTATTTCATGTATTACATAAATACATACATCTGCTTGTATCCACAAAAATTAAAAATAGAAATAAAATAATAAATGTGCATATTGTGTGGCCTTAAATTGAAACAATTTTTTTACATAATTATAAAAGTAGTTGAATCATGTATAGATAAATTTTGAGCAAACTTAGCCATGTAATTTTTTATCATCATGTATTTTAAGCAATATAAAACATGCTAACATTCCTGCATTCAATGAAATTATTGATGAGAATGACTGGCAGATTTGGAGAAGGTTGAGAAGGCCAGTGTGGCTGAATTGAGAAGCTGAATGTGGGAACCAGGAGAAGTGAGGTTAGAGAGGTAACAGGGAAGCCAGATTATAAATCACATTATGGATCATAAACTTTTCCTTTAAGTGAGATAAGAATACATTGGAGAGTTTTGCACACAGAGTGTCACAATCTGACTTATAATAAGATCTCTCTGCATGTTTTGCTGTGAACAAACTTTATGTAACAAGAGCAGAAGCAGTCAGAACAGTTGGGAGGCTACTGTTTTAATCCAAGCAAAAACAGAAATGATAGATTAGACCTGAGTGGTAGCAGCTTCAGTAAAAGAGAGAATTGGATTCTGCATATATCTTTGAAGTAGACTCTTCATATTGCTGACAGGTAGAGTATGGTGCTTCCTCTTGTTCTTGGACTCAAACTTGATTCACAAACTTGAATGCAGATAATATTAGGGTCCATAATTGGTAAGGACATAAACAAAGACAGTGCTAGTAGCAGTACAATTAGTCTTAACAAGAGTAACAGATGTGCACATGACATTCTGAGATGCTGTCAAATTGGGGGACATTTTAAGAGCAAGTTATCAGATCAGTGCCACAGATCCTTGAGAGCATTAAGACAATGGGACTATACAAATATAACAGGGCGTGAACAAAGAGTTCAGGAAAGTCTAACAAAAAATAGGCCAAAAAACCAAAAGCAACACGAAAACAAAAACAATTTACACATGGAAAAACTGGAGGTGTTATCAGCAGCATATGGGACAGACCTAGGGAATCATGTGGTCAGTATCACAACCACAGATTACTACAGGTATATGATACAGTAAATGAGTTTTTCAAGATCAATTGAAAGGTATAAGATTTAAGGACAATAGCCTCCATCAACAAAGGGTGGAATACTTACTAGTATGACAAATTTATGGGGTTAGGCAATAAGGAAAGGATATTAAAATTAAAGTATGTTGGAAATGTGTTAAAAAGACGAAGGTGGGGGCTCCAAGAATTTGTAAGAGAATACAAAAAAAAAAAAAAAAAACAAAGGAAATGGGAGAAATCTCCAAAAAATAAAATTATCAAAATACAGCTCTTTGATTGTTTTGAAATGACCTGAGTTGGATTCCAGGAATAAAAGCTAAATACAGAACTTACAAGTAAGGACAAGTAGCTGCTTTATGATGGGGTGAGGAAACAGGGACATTGGTTCAGGTAGTACAAAAGTTTTTCAAGGCACATGTGAATGAAAGTAGACCTTAAACATCTGAAAATAAAAGTAAAGAAAATATACAAAGAGTTATTCTCACACTACTTATCAAACAAATTTGAAGTTACACGTGGAAAGAAAACAAAAAGGTAAAATAAAATTATTTTTTCACTTCTAAATTGAAAAACTGTGCTACATAATTTATACATTTAGGAACTCTTAATCTGTTTTTTTTTTCCAGAAAAACAGCGCTCATTAATTTCTGATGCTTTTTCCAGTATTTTTTAATGTAGAAATACCCTTTCAAGACACAAAAGCATAAGGTGAAAAAATACAAAAAAAAAAAAAAAAAGAAAGTACCCTGATTGAAGCAAGCATTTAAAATAAATAAGAGTCAGATCTTCTCTGCTTTATCTTTTTTCATATGGTGGCTCTGGAGGCATCTCAATCAACACTCAGAATTCTTGAAATACACATTAAAGTCACGATATGTCATCATGCTACTTACATTACAGTAAGCTGATATTGACAAAGCAATCAAAAGCAATAGGGAATGCAGCAGTTATAGGTCTCCCATCTTAAATTCCATTTTTAAAATTTATTTTTTATTTCATTAGGTTTTTAGGGGACAGATGGTGTTTGGTTACATGGATAAGTTTATTTAGTGGTGATTTCTGAGATTTTGGTGCACGCATCACCCAAGCAGCGCACACTGTACCCAATGTGTAGTCTTTTAACCCTCACTTCCCTCCCACTCTTTCCTCAAAGTCCCCAAAGTCCTTTGTATCATTCTTATGCCTTTGCTTCCTCATAACTTAGCTCCCACTTGAGTGAGAAGACATAATGTTTGCTTTTTCCATTTCTGAGTTACTTCACTTAAAATAGTAGTCTCCAATTCCATCTAGGTCACTGTGAATGCCATTATTTTGTTCCTTTTTATGGCTTACTAGTATTCCATGGTGTGTATATATATACATATACATATATATACACACATATACATATATATATATATCATATCACATTTTATTTTTCCACTTGTTGATTGATGGGCATTTGGGCTGGTTTCATATTTTTTCAATTGTAAATTGTGCTGCTATAAACATGCATGTGCAAGTATCTTTTTCATATAATAACTTATTTTCCACAGGGTAGATACCCAGGAGTGGGTTTGCTGGATCAAATGGCAGATGTACTTTTAGTTCTCTAAGGAGTCTCTGTATTGTATTTCATCGTGATTGTACTAAGTTACATTCCCACCAACAGTGTAAAAGTGTTCCCTTTTCACCACATTCATGCCAAAATCTATTTTTTTTTAATTTTTTGATTATGGCCATAAAAATTCTAGAAGATAACATCAGAAAAACCCTTCTAGACATTGACTTAGGCAAAGACTTCATGACCAAGAACCCAAAAGCAAATGCAACAAAAACAAAGATAAATAGATTGAACTTAAATAAACTAAATTAAACTAAAATGTTTCTGCACAGAAAATAATTATAATAATCAGTAGAGTTAACAGACAACCCAGAGTGGAAGGAAACCTTCACAGATTTATACATCTGTGGATACTTTATTCACAGTCTATACATCTGACAAAGGATTAATATCCAGAATCTACAAAGAACATAAAGAAATCAGCAATAAAAACAAAACAAAACAAAACAATCTTATCAAAAAGTGGGCTAAGGACATAAATAGACAATTTGCAAAAGAATGTATTCAAATGGCCAGCAAGCATATGTAAAAATGCCTAACATCACTAATGATCATGGAAATGCAAATCAAAATAACAATGCCATACCACCTTACTCCTGCAAGAATGGCCATAATCAAATTCTATCTTAATATAGATTAATTTAGTTGAATACTACTGGTATCTCATGCCATCTTTAAATTAATCTTATATCCATCTTTTATATTCTCTCTCATGTTCAGAAGGACAATTAAGTTTATCTAAATAAAATGGCCTTCTAATAGAAGTGTTCTGAATATGAGCTTTATTTATAATTTAGGTAATATATTTCTGCATTATAAAATAAATGAATAAATGCTTCTTTTAATCTTATGTGCTATTAATATCTTTATACTATTAATATGATCATCTGAAATAGGTCAATGTAATTCTAGAACTCTTTAAACATGCTTATATATGTGTGTGCATGCATATATTAATATATCTACACATTTAGTTTAATATCTCAGTGAACTAGAAGTTTTTGATAGAACTAAAGACTGAACTAGGAAGAATGTAAGTTAAATGACCAGAATTTTATATAATTGCAAATTAGGACTTTATATAATTGCAAACTACTTTATATTATCTCAAATTATGGTATTTGAAATAATCGGGAAACGAATGAGTAGTCTATTTTTAATGACCACTTCTCTAGTACAGTCCTCTTTTACAGACTCTACTTAATGATTCCCTATAGTTAAAACAACCCTTTGATCGAATAAACTATACTTTTATCCTCCTATGCTTTCTCTACTTTTATGAAATCTAATCATTTCAATACTGATTTTCATTATTTTTCCTTAATTTCCTCTAAACTTTCCTTTACCCATCTTTATCACCTATTGTCATTGCTTATGTTCTTAACAATTATTCTATTGTGCAAAAATTGCCTCAAAGTCAAAATGCCACGTTATTTATCTTTAATCTCTAATTCTTCCTTCATCTCTTCATTTTTACTTTTCAAATTTTTAATAATATAATAGTTTTATTTTTAGTTTAAGCTTCAACACCTTCAACTTTGTGAACCGTCAGAATTTTTAGTTCTACTAAAAGTCAATCTCCCAACACTCACTGAAACTTTTTTACTTTTTTAATGTTTTTAATTTTAATAAGTGATATACGGTTTGAATATACTCTTTTACTATGTATGAAGCCTCATTTTGGAAGGTGGGTTTTTGTGTTAATTTTCATACACACTCAAATATATTTTAAAAATTGAATCAAATATGTTTACTATTTTTACCTTTGCAAAAATTGTTAAACACAACAATCTTTCTTTTTTTTTTTTTTTTTTTTGAGACCGAGTCTCGCTCTGTCGCCCAGGCTGGAGTGCAGTGGCACGATCTCTGCTCACTGCAAGCTCTGCCTCCCAGGTTCACGCCATTCTCCTGCCTCAGCCTCCCGAGTAGCTGGGACTACAGGCCACCACTCCCGGCTAATTTTTTGTATTTGTACTAGAGACGGGGTTTCACCGTGTTAGCCAGGATGCTCTCAATCTCCTGACCTCGTGATCCGCCCGTCTAGGTCTCACAAAGTGCTGGATTATAGGCGTGAGCCACCGCGCCAGCCAACAATCTTTCTTAAATGAATGTAACATTGCAGAGCTTATAAGTTAAATTCAGCACAATGGCTTCAAGTTTCCTCTAATATGAAGTTACTCCTGGGAGGCAACTAATCTAGTTTCTGATTTTTTTTCACTGACAATTGGGCTTACTCTGAACTTTAAACTATCTCAGTCAGCTACAGCAAAAGCCTTTGAGTAAATGAGGCTTTCCATATTCACCAGATAATTCATGCCAACTCAGCCTTAGTAGCTCACTTCCCTGTATCCTTATTCTCAAATCCAAGTTGTCTTCCCTCTTCTCTAATTACAAAATCTGTTCAGGCACCAGGCTCACGCCTATAATCCCAGCACTTCTGGAGGCCGAGGTGGGCGGATCGCCTGAGGTCAGGAGTTTGAGACCAGCCTGGCCATTGTGGTGAAACTCTGTCTCTACTAAAAATGCAAAAAAAATAGCTGACTGTGGTGGCTCACACCTGTAGTCCCAGCTACTCGGGAGGCTGAGGCAGGAGAATCTCTTGAACCAGGGAGGCGGAGGTTGCAGTGAGCTCAGATTGTGTCACTGCACTCCAGCCTGGGTGACAGAGCAAGACTCCATCTCAAAAACAGAAATAATAATAATTACAAAATTTTTCTACCTTCTAACCCACTCTCAAAGTATTCCCTCCAACCAAAAAAAAATCTTTCTATTTTTTATTTTATTCAATGGTAAATACACTTTCTACCACTTCAAATATTTAACTGAATAGTCTCTTGGTCTCTTTGAATTATAGAACAAGAAATCAGAATTTGAGGAAATTTTTCCTTTTTTCCATATGCCACATTTGATGTTCATTGCTTTTATATTGAAATGCTACGTTCTCCCTCTCTGAAACATCATTTTGCTTTGAGAACAACTCCATCCATGTTCTAACACTTTTTGTAATTACAAACTATAAATCCTCCAGTCATGCCTTCTCATTCGCTGAAAACTTTGAAATGGGCTATGTCTTCCATTTTCCATCTCCTTTGACAGAAACAGTATTCTTACATATAATCTACTCAGTACCTCAAATTCTCTCTTCTCTCTCTCTTTTTCGTACTTCTGGATTCAAATTATTGTTACCTAAATTTCACTTTATCCACTCACTCCAAGAGTCATATCCAGGATGGGTTAACACTGATAATTGTTCCAAGAAATATCTCATCCATTTATGAAGAAAATAAATTTAATTGACTCATAGTTCTGCAGGCTTAACTGGAAGCATGACTGGGAGGTGTCAGGAAACTTACAATCACGACAGAAGGCCAAACTTTTATGCTCTGCTTCCCTTTTAAATATAAGTTCCAACTTCAGACCATCTCTTTCTTCACACATATAAATATTACTTTTAGAAACACCCATGTCACATCTTGAATGCTTCAGTGCTCAGAAATTTCTTCTGCCAGATACCCTAAAGTATCTCTCTCAGGTTCATAGTTCCACAGATCTCTATGGTAGGGGCAAAATGTCACCAGTCTCTTTGCTAAAGAACAGCAAGGGTGATCTTTACTCCAGTTCCCAATAAGTTCCTATCTCCATCTGAGACCATCTCATCCTGGACTTCATTGTCGATATCACTATCAGCATTTTGGTCAAAACCATTCAGCAAGTCTCTAGGAAGTTACAAACTTCCCTACATCTTTCTGTCTTTTTCTGAGCCCTCCAAACTGTTTCAACCTCTGCCTGTTTCCCAGTTCCAAAGTCATTTTCACATTTTCAGGTATCTTTATAGCAGTGCCCCTCTCTCCCAGTACCAATTTTCTATATTAGTTTGTTCTCACACCATTATAAAGAACTACCTGAGACTGGATAATTTATGAAGAAAAGAGGTTTAATTGACTCACAGTTCTGCAGGCTTAACAGGAATTATTACTGGGAGGCCTCAGAAAACTTACAATCATGGCAGAAGGTGAAGGGGAAGCAAGCATGTCTTACCATGGTGGAGCAGGTGAGAGAGAGTGAAGGAAGAAGTTCCATACACTTTCAAACAACCAGATCTCATGAGAACTCACTCACTATCATGAGAACAGCAGGAGGGAAGTCTGCCCCCATGATTCAATCACCTCTCACTAGGCCCCTCCTCTGACACATGGGGATTACGATTTGACAAGATTTAGCGCCAAACCATATCATTTAGTAATTATTTTAAAATGTTTTATGAAATGTAAATGATCAAATTTTCTTGTCAATTGTACCATGATTGTAATGAACTCTCATCAGATCTTTAACCATCACTGTTTTAAGTCTTATCATTTACAGATGATTAATTGTTTACTCTGGTACTTTCCTGAGCAACTGTAAGTCTAAAATGTTTCATTTTCAAGGAGATTCATGGAAAGAACTCTGAAAGGTACAGGTTTCTAATAACTTTAATATCATACCATTGGACTGGGTAAGAATTTTCAGCAATCTAAGGAAGAAACTAATTGGTTCAGAAAACTGCTAACCCAACATCAAGCAGCAGAAGAAAAACAAATGCCTTGGCAGATTTCATGCTGTCAGCCAGTACTGAAATTGTTAAGATACGAAATTTGAAAGAGCTCCATAACAGTGATTCAGATCAGATTACCTATGATATCCTATTTAATAAACAGTGCCATGCACCTGAATTGGAGAAACAAAATTGGTATTTTAAAAACTGTAGATTCTATGCTAAGTGTGAAATTATGGAGAGCCTGGGAAGCTGTCTGTTTCTTCCTAAGCCTGTGAAGCTTCCATTGTTAAAAGCTCTATACACTACGACTCATCATGGATTAAATAAAATGATACTACATATAAAGGAAGAAAGTTGGTGATTACTTTGTAAAAATTATTAAAGTGGTTTTTAACCAATGTTTGGTTTGCCAAGTTCATAATTCTGTTAAGACAATAAAAACCTCAGGTAATATATTTATAGCACCTGATGGAACATTTCAACACATACAGATGGACTTCAGTCAATTGCCATTTTCAGTTCCTGTTTTCTGGTTGTATAGAAGCTTTCCTGTGCAGGAAGACCAGTGCTATCATAGTAGCTACCAAGATATTAAAAATGTGCTCTCTTTATGGGGCATCCCTAGAGGTATCTTCAGAAATGGAGGTACTCATTTTACTGGACAAGTTATAAAAAAACTTTAAAAAAGTATTACAAACACAATAGCATTAGGCAAAATGAACTGAATTGACTGTATTGCTTTGGTCAAAGATATTATGGATTAATGGCAATTATATCCAGTTCCACTACAAAATGCAGAATAAAATAGTTACTCTAAGGCCTATTCTTCTAATAGTAAAACTCCATGTATCTCCCAATCTTATATACTCTAGCAAGTCTCAATAGTGTAAAGCTTTAATGCCTTATACCAAAGTATATTTTCCGCAGGCGAAATGGAATATTCTCCCATTGTACAATGAGAATATTCTCCCATTGTACAATGGGAATATACTCCCATTGTAACACAGAACCTGGAGAGTGAGTCTTTCGCAAAAAGAAAAACAACATAGAAGAACTGCCCTTGAACTCCATTGGCAGGGACCATAGCAACTTCTCTGTTACGAAATTCAGGCCTGGAGTCCTGAATCCACATCTCTCAACTCAAGAGAGCCCCTTCACACCCTTGATACTAGGTACTATACACCTATTAAAGACCTCAAGGAAAGGCTGACCAGGAAATTTTTTTTTTTTCCAGTAGCAGATTGTATCCAAGGCATGGACAGCTTTCCCAAGATAATGGATTAAGGCTTCTCTCCTTTGTCATCATGAAACCCTTTTCTCTTTTCTCTGTGTTTATTTTTGGTTTATATATGGCAAGTTAATGCAATAATTTAGATTTTATAATTGATAGCTTCCTCAGCTAAGTTAACTGAATATTGGCTATATCATGTAAAACTTAAATTCTTACATGAATCTTAGAGATTCTCAGATTCACCCTTTAACAAGTTGTACTGATATTACAAGTATAATATCTGGTCCTTTGTATAGGGTTAGGCTTTTAGATTCACATACTAAGATTCCTCATTTAAATCTAACAGTAGGCAAAACCTACTGAGTTTTTTGAGTGTTTTGCAGTGAAATTATGCCAGACATTACATAAGAAAAGCAAAAGAAAGATAATTTGACAGTTTATAGAAAAATTTATAACCTTAATCTCTTAATTATCAATTATCGTGTTATCCAACTGTACAATAATTCAATAATGGAGTCTTAGACAAATACTATTAGTGCTTCCCTACTGGTGACCCCTAATGCACAAGGCATCCTACAGAGAACTGTCTGTTGTTACCCTCCAGGATGTATCTTTATCTGTGGAGGATGTAACAATCAATGATACATGTCTCAAATGTGAAAAATAAGAGTTCTATGTAGATTTGGGATTCTAAAGGTACCACTGTCACCCCATAACCAACTGCAAACTGAACACCTCAAAATTTATACCATAGAATAAAGTGAGATTTGCCAGCAGGCATAAATCATTCTAAAGGGGATTTTTTTGGTAGAATGCTCCTTCTTTGGTTTGGCATAAAAGTAAATGAGGTTATGATTAGAAATATGTATCAAACATGATCTACTATAGCTGAATCTACTGCAAAGCTATAGTTGCCCAGAAAACTTCTTTAAATTCTCTTGCTAACATTATCTTAGATAACAAGATTGTTTTAGACTACTTTGGCTGAACAAGGGGGAGTGTGTAATAGCTAACACCTCCTGTTACACTTGGATAAATACATCTGGTATGGCAGAAACTCGGCTGCAAGAAATCAACAAACAAGCTACTTGGTTAAAACAAGTAGATTTCTCTCATGGCTCATTTTTGATATATTTGATTTTGATCAGCTCAGTTCAAGGGGGCTCCTGTTAAGGAGTATACTTCAGTCTCTTAGCATTATCCTCCTGATAGGCAACATAAGGGTCTCCCTCGTGCATCATATCGTCTCAAGAGTCTTAAACGCTCATATGCTGCCATCTGTTAAATGTCAGATGGTCTATGGTTAGAATAATGATGACACAAAGACGACATAAAGAAACATTCAACTGACCTGATGTGGAGAATTGTGAATTCTATACTGAGGCCAACAGAAAGTGCATTAATGACCAAGGTTTTAATCGATCTCTCAAAATTGAGAGGCTGACCAAAAGGAGGAAATAGTTAATTAAATTTGCCCTAACGCTGTGTCTGTGTACAGCAAATTTTAACCTAACTTAGTATGTAAACCATTTGTAACCTAATTTAAGAGTATATTCTTGTAACAAGTAGCTGAATCCTAGCTGCAAAGCTTTCAGACAATCACAGGCTGCCAAATGACCAGACCATGTCCATAGAAAGCAAATGCTAAGCTGGAAAATCAAGCTGTTTCCTTATGTTACTTCCCTTTTCCATCTATAAATACTGTCTACCCATGTTGCTGTGTGGAGCTCTCTGAACTTTTACTGGTTCAGAGTGCTGACCAACTCATGAATTGTTTCATTGCTCCAGTATGCTCTGCTAAAGTAAATTTGTCAAAAATTTTTCTTTTAACTCATGTCATTATATGTTTTCCCAAATCTAGAATGTACAACACCAAGAATAAACCGTAATGTAAACGATGGACTATAGGCAATTATAATGTGTCTTTTTAGTTTTATCATTTGTGACAAATGTACTATTCTGCTGGGGATGTTGACAGTGGAAGTGAGTGTACATGTGAAGGGGCAGAGCAATGTGGGAAACCTCTGTACTTTCTTCTTAATTTTTTGGGGGACCTACAATGGTTCTAAAAAATATCATCTTAAGGCCGGGCGCGGTGGTTCACACCTGTAATCCCAGCACTTTGGGAGGCCGAGGTGGGCAGATCACGAGGTCATGAGATCGAGACCATCCTGGCTAACACAGTGAAACCGCATCTCTAATAAAAATACAAAAAAAAGTTAGCCAGGCATGGTGGCAGGCGCCTGTAGTCCCAGCTAATCGGGAGGCTGAGGCAGGAGAATGGCATGAACCCGGGAGGCAGAGCTTGCAGTGAGCAGGGATCGTGCCACTGCACTCCAGCTTGGGCAACAGAGCAAGACTACGTCTAAAGAAAAAAAAATCATCTTAAAACAAAACTAAGACCTTTCTTTGAGCAGGGCTCAGTCTCTGACTGAAGGCTTTTATTCTATTTTTATATATGTTTTATTTTATTTTACCCTTCAAACAAAGGTTATTAGGTCTAGCTTAACTGCAGTTAGGCTAGGCAGGGTCTTTCTTCTCAGCTCTCCTGTGCCTCTTCTAGCTGCAGATTGCTGTTGCTTTCTGCTCCTATTTCTACTCTTGTTGTCCTACAATCTATTCTCCATATAACAATGAATTTAATGCATTTTAATTATAATATCATGTCTATGTATATTAGGAATATTCTTCCACTAATTATCTGTGTAGCTAATCTCCCGCCTCCTTTAAGTTTTTCTGAAGTCTTATCCCAATAGAAGGTCACCTGGTCATCATATTTAAAATTGGAACTACTCTCCTTCTCATTCCCATGGGTATCACTCTCCTTGTTTATCCTATAGCTCTTTAATCTTCTAACATACTGTACATATTGTTTATTTATTATATCTATTATTTATTGTTGAAGTGTTCTCACTAGAATGACAGTGCAATGAAGGCAGATATACTTTTTATTTACTAATATAAGCATCCCAAAAAGTGCTTGACACAGAGTAGATTTTCAATAAATATTTGTTAAATAAATTAATACATGAAAACATTATTATCTCATGAAGGAATCTTTAGTAAATAGAATCTCTCCATGACTGGAGGGATCAGGATCAAAAGCCTGATAGTTGCAGAATTACCTAGCTAAAAAACAAGGTATGTAAGACTTGGAGAGGTGGAAGAAAACAGAAAAAATCCTAAAACAAATTTTAAAATCTTATATACCTTTTGTTCTCAATAGTAATATTTAGAGCTGATTTTTAAAGAAATATATTTTATTTTAAATTGACATAATTTTGTATTTATTGTGTATAATATGATGTTGTGAGGTGTATATATATTGTAGAATGGATAAATCTAAGTAACTAAAATATGCATTACCTCACATAGATATTTTGGTGGTGAGAACATTTAACATCTATTCTCTTAGCATTTTTCAAGAATAACATAAAGTATCATTAACTATAAGCAAAAGTGCTGTACAATAGATTTTTGAACTTATTCTATCTGTCTACTTGTAATTCTGTATTCTTTGACCACCATTTTTTTAACCCACACTCTGCCTAATCACCCAGTTTCTGGTAACTACCATTTGATGACTTCTATAAAATTAACTTTTTTAGGGTTTATTTTTTAAATAATATTAGTCCTAACATCCAGCAAAATACAAAATACAAAAATATAGAGTTATATTTAATCTTTACCAGAAAATTATATGCACAATGTATAAAAATAAATATGGATGTGTGTATATATATGTATATGGATGTGTATATATATATACGCACACACATGTATATATATGTGTGTATATATATACACACACACAAAACGAATGTGTGCATGTGTGTATGTAATGTAAAGGCAATAGTGAAACTAATTTTTCTAAACTGGAGTTATTGCATCTTTTTAGGTCATCACAATTTTTAATGAGTTTTGAAATTTTACACATCACCAAAATTTAAAAATACCTAGTATTTTATAAACTAAAATATTTGTTTTCAAAAGTAAGTTTTTTTGTGGTATATTTTAATATTGACAATAATAATGGCAGATAGGCATTTAATTTGAAAAAAGAAAACTAAATTACTATTTGCCATATAATATTCATTTATTTATCTTAACTTCCCCTATAATTTAGAAGTAAATCTATTTACATTGGGTTTATCTTATAAAGTTAGATCAACAATTTTATGTTGTATAAAGGCATTCTTAAATAAGGCACAGAGAAAAATTATAAAATGTATACAAGCCAACAAGCCGTTCGTTTTATTCCATGGATAAAGTGAATGCAATACTTTGACATCTGCGTTGTACAACTAGGCCTACATGGATGTATCAGTACTAGCAATTCATTCTGTACTAATACAGCCACTTGGGGGTAAAATAGTCACATAAGTAATGTTCACAGTTTTTTAGAGAACTTGCTGGATTATAAGGTGGAAGGGATGAAGGAAATCTGATTTTTTTAGTCTGCTGTCTCATAATATTGATAATATAGGTTAAAAGAAGTTATTTGATATATTTAACTTTTCATTGTAGAAGGTGTCATCTTAAGAACTTATGATGTTGAATATAGATTTTCTAGTCACATAATTGAATTGCAAAAAATTTGTTGGTAAGCATATTTGTGCCTTAGATTAATAAATTAACCATTTTCTTATTTAATTATATACTCTATTTTTCCTATTTAATTATATACTCTAAAATATTAATGAAATTAAAATTTGTTTATCACAATACATTTATTGTATACTTCTTTCTTTTATTCTTTCTATTAACTTCCAAGAAATAAGCATAGGTTTTTAATTTTGCACCAGGTATCTATAGGTTTTTGCTATTTTTATTACCCAGACACTGAAAGAGTTAGAAATGGGGTAAATCATTTAAAAATAATTTGAAGAGAGTTGAACAACCAAAATGTCAGCATGTCCAAATCTTTTTTAATGTGCAATTTGATATTTAATATTACATTGGTATTTGACAGAATATCCTTAATATAAATAACCAAAATATATTCAGATGGAGTTTGATCAACCAGATTCATTGCCTTTCCATTTTTTAAAATAATTTTTAATACAGTCAGTCTCTGGAAGAGGCTGCACACTGGAGAGACAGCCTATAATGGAATATTCATGTCTGCTCTTTCATTCTCTTTCCCTCAAGATTCTCACAAACAATAACTAGGAATAATACCCTTCTTTCAGACAGCTCATGCCTAGAAGGATAAACACACATAATGATTTAAGCATCAGCCTACAATGCTACTGCATTATAGAGAGTAGCATCTTAACAGTTTATGGTCATTCTGAATAGACCCTGAGAACAAAAAAGTGACATGTTAGCTTAGGACCTAGTTATTTTCTTGACATAGGCATTGTGAAAGAAGGACATTTAGCAGTTTCTGATTAAATAATATAATTAATGATTTTCAGAATGTTACATAATTTACTTTAAAAATTTTTGTAATTTTCAGAAACTAGAGGATTTTACAAGATGAATTTACATAGAAGACAGATGGCTTCATAACAAGTGCCTCCTACATCATTGCCCGTAGCATTATAAGAAAATAAGTCATGATTAAATTTTGTCTAATTCACAATGTTCAAAATAATTGTTAGAATTAGAAATTTGACTGTTGAAGATTTTAAAATAATTTCAGAATATATAATCTGTTAAAAGAAAAATGTTGGAATACTACATTTAATAGAATTTAATTGAGCAAGAGAAAAGAAAAGAAAAAAATTCACAAATCGGGCATGTCCCAGAATCAGAATAGATTCAGATAGACTCCCAGGACTGTCGCATGGTCAAATATTTATTAATAGAAAAAGTAAAGTAACATATAGAAAATGGAAGATTGGTTACAGCTCAGCATTTGACTTATTTTAGCACAGTTTGAACATTTGGCCATCTGTGAGTGGTTGAAGTATGGCTGCTGTGATTGGCTAAGACTCCACTATTATTACAGCAGCATTCTCCTAAATCAGGTTTTTAGTTTGCTGCCCTACTAAGTTAGGCTGTGGTTTGTACATAAGATCTCAAGTATGTGAGCATGGAAGCCTTTTCAGGCAAAATTTTAGTTTGATTTAACAAATCTATTGTGGCAATTATTAAGGAAATATAATTAAAAACAAAACAAAATACTCTTCCAACACAGAAAACCTCTTCACAAAGGGAGAAGAGAAAGAAAATAATTTATTATTAAATGAACATTTAACTAGAATGTGATATGAATCTCAGGCAATCCACTAAAAGATTGCAAAGACAGAAAGAAATCTCACCATTTTATACAGCCAAGCAGATACAACTCATTAAATACATGTTCTCAAGATAAACAATAAATAACTAGTTCTCAGATGAGACTACGTAAAGTGCCATTTGCCACATATAGTTTATTCTGTTTACTTGATAATTGCACTTACTACCTGTGTTAGCTATTTGGCTTTATCGCCCCCAAAATAAACTTTTTAAAATCTTTATGACAAGAGTTAGTTTTGCAACTTGAAGGCCAGCTCAGTCAGAGTTAGGTTCCATCCTTCCCACAGACAGAAAGAGTAGGGCCACTATCTTCCTTGATTATGACATTTCAAAGTGATGGTTCCCAGGTACTTGAGAAAGACAACCCTTATTCTTAAGGCTTGCAAGAGGTTTATTTAGCTTTCTACAAAATCTACATGCATTTCCAAGAAACAGGGGAATAACTTAGAAATTCAACTTTTCCAAAGTAAATACTCTAAGATAAGGAAAAATATCTTCCTATACTTTCAATAGGGAGAATTAAGGTTCTTTTATTTGTATTTGTTCTTATGTAACATAAGTCAAATTCATTTAGTCCATCTCCAAAGTTACTTTAAAAATTAAAGTCCAATTTTTAAATGCACACACACACACACACACACACACACACCACATTCATCCTAGAAAATTCAATCCTAAGGTTACCTGTTTGTTAAGATCATACCTAGTGTGGACTTAAAATCTGAAGTAAAACTATCCCCCATTTTTCCTATTGTACACATCATTCATTTTAAAGATGCCTTGGATCTCAATTTCCTCTTGTGGTTGCTACAATGAAGAAGAACAAATGTTCAACAGGGCATGCTTTCTCATGCCTTTAATATAGACTTTCAATTCTGGGGCATGCAGGAGCTAAATCTTAATTTTCTTACATCAGACCAGAGGGTAGTTAAAACTATGACTGCATACCAACACTCATCGTAATACATGTCATTCCATATGAATTCAGAAGTCACAATATTATCTGATCTTCTATATTATCATCTTAAGTATTCATGCATGAGTTTGATTTTTTTCTATTTTAAAAGTGCTTATATAATTTTTTTAAATGTGTACTTTTATTTAGGTTTTCTGCAAGGCTTTTTTTTTTTTTTTTTTTTTTTTTTGACAGAGTCTCACTGTCTCCAGGCTGGAATGCAGTGACACAATCTCAGCTCCCTGCAAGCTCTTCCTCCTGGGTTCAAGTGATTCTCCTGCCTCAGCACCCCAAGTAGCTGGGACTACAGGCATGCACCACCATGCCCAGCTAATTTTTGTATTTTTAGTAGAGATGGGTTTCACAGTGTTGGTCAGGATGGTCTTGATCTCTTGACCTTGTAATCCGCCTGCCTCGGCCTCCCAAAGTGTTGGGATTACAGGCATGAGCCACTGCACCTGGCCCAGGAGTATTTTAATGGAGTGCTGAAAGCCAAAATACATTGTATGAAATGATCCTTCCAGTTTTTCCTTGGCACCAATTTCCCATTCCATTTCTTCAGAATAACATAGGCTTTGCATAATGGCTTACTACTGTACCATTTCACTGTTTTACAGCTAAGGAATTTAACTTTAGTTCTGCAATTTCGGTTCTGTCAAGAGTGCAACTGTTACATCCCCTTGCATTGATTCTGGCAATTCCAATTAAACATGTTTGTTTCATGCAAGATTTCCCTTAAGAAAATCCTTTCAAGTATTAAATTGTCTTTTTGTCACTAATGAGGAGGACACTGTTATTTAACCCCTTATGATTTCCTCTGCCTCTCTCTCTCTTTTTCCTTTTTTCTTTCTCTTCTTCCTTCTTAAAATTTTTTGAGCTTTGAATTTTGTCATTTTATACATTTTACTTTGTATTCATTTGAAATGTTTTAGACGTAATTTGCAGTTAAGCCAACCCATATTACAAGAAACTTAATAAAACTAATGACATTAATTTTAAAACATAGTTTATAATACTTATGATCTGCACAAGATGTAAAGTATAATACAACAAACATATCTATATCCAACAGACAATGTAAGAAAAAGTATTAGCAATACCACGTATTCCTTTCTAATTATATTATTATCTTAGCTTCCCAAAGGTAATTGCTAGAAGAAATTATTCTACTCAAACCTCTTTACATTTTCTTAGGTATAATACTGTAAATGATTATCAAAAAGTAAATGTGTATGTGTATAATTATTCTGCCTCTTGAGTATAAAATATTTTATACTTATCTCTGTGAGAATCATCTATGTATAAACTTATTAAACAAATGGCTCTAACCTATTTCTTTTTATTGCTCATTAGGATTTCATTAAATGAGTAAACTGCATGTAATTAAGCTTACAATACACACTTAGTATTCTCCCATTGTTTACTGTTAAACGTAATGGTACTATTAACGTTGTCATACATATTATTATGTATATTTGCTAGGTTTCTGAAGCAAAAAATTAGAAAAAGAAATTGAAAAAAATAAAATATTCACTTACTAAATGTAGGTAAGTCTAACATATTTTTCTTTAAATCTTTAACATTAATACTAATGTGCCCAAAAAGTCTTCTCTACATCAGGGATATTACAGGAAACTATTCTTTAAATATAAATCATAAACCTATGGTAAATAAACTAAACTTTTATATTATTTTGAGAGTTTTTCCTCTTTCATTGGAATTCAGGTTCTTCTTATCTGTTAACTAGTTAGCAATTGCTGATCAACTCAATTACAGGTTCCAGTTTGGTTTAAACAAAAGAAGTTTTCTACACAGTTTATATTTTACTTTTATTTTTGTTTAGACATTTCTCAATATTTATTAGGACTAGATAATTCTAGTGTATGTACATAATGATCAATAAACTTTCAAATTTTACCAAGAAAAGGGAGGAAGAATAAAAAAGAAGAAGAAAAAAGAAAAGCAATGGGAGATGGTTTTAGACATATCTAAATTATCATTATAAAATGCTAATTATTTTCCTCCTGTAAGGAATGAACAAAGGTTAAATACAGGAACTCCATTATGAGACAATCACACAAAGAGAGTTATTATAGTTGTTTTAAATAATATTGTCTCTGTTTTAGACAAACATATAATCTAACCGGGGCTTCTTCCCATTTTCTTCAAAGGTAACTTCCAAATGAACAATCTTGCCCATGTCAAAGTAATAAGAAAGTTAAGCAAGGCTGCTAGTTAAGCAAGAATACTAGATGAATATAGAAAAATAATTAGCAGTTCTAAACACTAGAAATCACAATTTGTATAATTGAAACAAAATAGACTTAAAATATTTAAAAATTCAGAATATTTTATTATTGGCTCATTTGGGTTTTGGGGTAGAGAATTAGAGATGACATGAGATCATCTTAATTTGGGGAGAATACATGGTACTTTCATCTATATTTGCTGGTAGTAAGTTTGGAGTGGGTCACTCTTGCCAATTAGTGAATTTGTTTTACATAGAAAACAATATTTATAGTCATTTAGAAACACTTCAATTTACAAATGCTCACAATTCTGTGAGGATGTTCAAAAAAATGCAATAATATAAAGTGGGATAAGTGAAAAGCCATAATTAGCAATAGAAAGTAACTTCTTGCTGCTCAAATATAAAAAAGTGATTTTTAAGTACTTAACTTTTCATAAATGGATATATGATCATAAACTAAGAATTGAGGGTTTTAGTTAGAAAATGGATTACAATCAATAATTTTATATAAAATCCAATATCTAAATTTTTTTATGTAAAAGCGTTTGGAAAATGTTAGGGGGCATTTAGTCCATAGAAAACCAGGATGCCGGACTTGTCCAGGGGCAACTGAGCTTTGCCTTGGTGTTCTTGCCCCTGTAGGGTTATTGGCTCACTGCTATAGAGCTTATTAGAAAACAAGAAGATCTTCATATTTTTAAATATTTACTTTTATAAATATCAAGTACAGAAAAAGTAACTATCAACAGAGTAAACAGACAACCTACAGAATGGGAGAAAATATTTGCAAACTATGCATCCAACAAAGGTCTAATATCCAGCATCTATAAGGAACTTAAATAAATTTACAAGAGAAAAACAAACAACCCTATTAAAAGGTGGAAAAAGGACATGAACAGACACTTCTCAAAAGAAGACCTCAATGGTAGACTGGATGAAGAAAATGTGGTGCATATACACTATAGAATACCATGAAGCCATAAAAAAAGAACGAGATTATGTCCTTGGCAGGAACATGGATGAAGCAGGAGGCCATTATTCCTATCAAACCAGTGCAGGAACAGAAAACCTAATACTGCATGTTCTCACTTGTAAGTGGGAGCTAAATGATAACACATGGACAGAAAGAAGGGAGCAACAGAAACTGGGGCCTAAAAGAGGATGGAGGGTGGAAGGAAGTAGAGGAGCAGAAAAAATAACTATTGGTTACTAGGCTTAGTACTGGGGTGACAAAATAATCTGTACAACAAACCCCGATGATGCAAGTTTAAAACAAACTTGCACATGTACCCTTGAACCTTAAATAAAAGTATAAAAAAGAGAACAAAACAATAGGAATACAGTCTTCAATAATAAAGTTCAGGGACATAGACTGAATGTGGCATTTTATTAATACTGGCAATCTTATAAGCAACAGCCTACCCAAGGGAATCAAAGGGAAGAAGACATTTCTCATGATATGTTACAACTAGTTTATCCTACATAGTTGCCTATCTGTCATTATATTCTACATGTTTGAAGGAGAAAAAGCCACTTATGACACTGTGTGTTGTTCCTTCCTGATAACATATAATATGCTCATTTAACACTAAAACTACTATTACTGAAAGTAATCCAGAATTACAAGTTTAGGTCTAATGTAAGACCAGTTTAGTGAAAATTGTCAAAAATTAAGTACAGTATGCATATATATTCAAAAATATTAACAGTTTTTATAAATAAAATGAATAAGATTACTTTGGTACTCATATACAATTGACAAGCATTGTTGATGTTATGAAACTTGTTGCAGGAAGTCAGAGACCCCAAATGGAGAGACCGGCTGGAGCTGTGGCAGAAGAACATAAATTGTGAAGATTTCACATTAATATGGACATTTATCAGTTCCCAAATAATACTTTTATAATTTCTTATGCCTGTCTTTACTTAATCTCTTAATCCTGTTATCTTCATAAGCAGAGGATGTATGTCACCTCAGGACCACTGTGATAATTGTGTTAACTGTACAAATTGATTGTAAAACGTGTGTTTGAACAATATTAAATCAGTGCACCTTGGAAAAGAACAGAATAACAGAAATTTTTATGGAATAAGGGAAGACAACCAAAAGGTCTGACTGCCTGTGGGGTTGGGCAATAAGAGCCATATTTTTCTTCTTGCAGAGAGCCTATAAATGGATGTGCAAGTAGGAAAGATATTGCTAAATTCTTTTCCTAGCAAGGAATATGAATATTAGTACCCTGGGAAAGGAATGTGTTCCTTGGGGGAGGTCTATAAATGGCTGCTCTGGGAATGGTTTGTCTTGTGCAGTTGAGATAAGGACTGAGATACGCCCTCGTCTCCTGCAGAACCCTCAGGCTTACTAGGGTTGGGAAACTCCACCCTGGTAAATATGTGGTCAGACCGGTTCCCTGCTCTCAAACCCTATGTTCTGTTGTTTGAGATGTTTATCAAGACAATACGTGCACCACTGAACATGGACCCTTATCAGTGGTTCTGCTTTTGCCCTTTGTCCTGTTCCCTCAGAAGCATGTGATCTTTGTTAGACCCTTATTAGTAGTTCTGCTTTTTGCCCTTTGAAGCATGTGATCTTTGTACCTACTCCCTGTTCTTACACCCCCACCCCTTTTGAAACCCTTAATAAAAACTTGCTGGTCTGAGACTCAGGCGGGCATCACGGTCCTATCGATATGTGATATCACCCCCGGCGGCCCAGCTGTAAAATTCCTCTCTTTGTACTGTCTCTCTTTATTTCTCAGCCAGCTGACACTTACGGAAAATAGAAAGAACCTATGTTGAAATACTGGGGGTGGGTTCCCCCAATAGAAACTTTGAATAATTAATGCTTCTAATTGAATTCAATATTATAGCTTTTATTTAAATGGCCCTATAAATTCCAATTAATAAAGTGTTTCTCCCACAAATTAAAGAAAATTATAAGCAATATTGTTAGAATATTTATAATAATTGAAATATCTATATATATTTACATTATTAAATTTGGCTTTTAAGTACTTATGCCAAGTTGAACTAGTTCTGAAATATATTTTGTGAAATGTATAAGTGGAGTACCTTATAATCATATTCTTTATATCATAATTTATAGTATAATTTTTTTTTTTGAGACAGAATCTTGCTCCATTGCCCAGGCTGGAGTGCAATGGCATGATCTTGGCTCAGTGCAACCTCTGCCTCTCAGGTTCAAGCAATCCTCCTGCCTTAGCCCCTCTAGTAGCTGGTATTACAGGCATGCACCACCATGCCTGGCTAATTTTTGTATTTTTAGTAGAGATGGGGTTTCACCATGTTGGCCAGGCTGGTCTCAAACTCCTGAGCTCAGGTGATCCACCCGCCTTGGCCTCCCAAAGTGCTGGGATTACAGGTGTAAGCCACCATGCCTGGCCCTGCAGTAGAATTTTATTGCATGTCTCAGTAGAGATTATAATAATGGTATTCAAAACAGATATTATTTCAATAAAAACAAATAGAATCCACATCTCGTTAATTAGGAATACATTGCTTGGCTTTTAAGCAATCCTTAGCATCCAACATCCAGTATACTTCCAAATTAATGCAATATTGTGACAAGATTACTTTAAAATTAGCTATGGGATCATCAGAGTTAAACTTCAGTTTGTCACATAAAGCAACGTATTTATTCTTTAGCACCTCAATTTGTTCTAAAATTAAACAACTCCTGACATAACTTCATCAAGTGAAGATCAAACCTTTTTTTTTTGTATATAGACATTTGTCTTGGATGTGTCATTTAAGAATGATGAAAATCCATTGACTTGGAAGAAAATATTTTACATTTTTTATTAATGTAAAACAAAATATAATGAGAAAATTAGAAATAACTATCAATTTATTTCAATTCATAGGTGTTTGGACTGGACATCTATTTCTAGATTTTTTAAAATTATTTACAAGTTCTAAGGTACATAATGGGACCTCCCAGGAAATAATTTTTTCATTGGTTAAAGGAGATGGCTTGTACATTTCTTAGAATGCTCATTCATGAAAATAAGAATTGCATTTTATAAAGTAAGTGTTATGTTAACAGGCATTCCAAAACATTCATGACATGTGAACATATTGATTCCTTTTGCAGTGACATACACTCCAACAGAAATGGGCATGGAACAAACATAGATACTTAAGAAAACCCCAGACTCACCCAGACCTTGCCATGTTCCTAATACCTGAAGTGGAAATCCATGTTTTTCCTTACATTACTTAACTTATTCTTGTTCACATGTTGAGGGTATGGCAAATTATAAATACATACATATTAAATCATTTGTTCACACAAAAATGTTAGAATCACGATTTTCAACTGCACATATTTGGAAATATCCAAAAATACTTTTATATTATATAATTCATGAATATACCTCATAAGCCAATATACAGTATTATTAGAACAATAATTAATGTCATTAATTCAAGGTAATTACAAACTCATCAAACTTTGATCATTCATTTGGCCTTTAATTTTAAACGTTTAACACATTAAATTTCAATAATTAAGTTTTATATTAATCTTAAGGATCACATGAGTATTGCATTCAGATATCATCATCATCATCATCATCATCCTCACCATCATCATCAACTATTATTTTAAACAAAAGAACATTGGTACATAATTATAATATAAGCAACAGCCAGGTGCTGTGGCTCATGCCTGCAATCCCAGCTCTTTGGGAGGCCAAGGTGAGCAGATCACCAGATCAAGAGATGGAGACCATCCTGGCCAATGTAGTGAAAGCGCGTCTCTACAAAAAATACAAAAAAAAGAAAAAAGAAAAATTAGCCGGATGTGGTGGCAGGAACCTGTAGTCCCAGCTACTCAGGAAGCTGAGGCAGGAGAATCACTTGAATCCAGGAGGTGGAGGTTGCAATGAGCCAAGATTGTGCCACTGCACTCCAGCCTGGGTGACAGAGCGAGACTCCGTCTCAATAAAAAAAAAAAAAAGCAACAAGACACCATGAAGTATACTAAGATGTAGAGAGATTTGATGAATGTTGTGTTTGGAAATATATTACTGTAGCTGAAATAAGGGAAAAGGAATAGGCCTGAAATCAGGTACAGTGGATTGGAGGCTCTTAAGCTAAGTAATCAGGGCTACAATTAGTATAACCTAAACAGAAGAGTTTTCAGTAAAGAAAAGTGATTTTGAGAAACAAACCAGAAAACAAGTGTAAAGTCAAAAAAGATACTTGGGACACAAAGGAACTTTATCCTCTTTATAATTGTATTAAAAACTAAACATGCTAAATAAAGTCCACAACGGAACTTTATCATCTTTATAATTGTATTAAAAACTAAACATGCTAATTAAAGTCCACAACATAATTTAGCAAATGAAGGCCTGCAAGAGCAGGCAGCTACCTGTTGTTATAAATAAAGTTTTATTAGAACACTAATAGTCACACCCATTAGTTTGTGTATTGTCCATGGCTGCTTTTGAGCTATAAGGGCAGAGTTCAGGGTTGTGACAAAGACCACATATGTATGAAACCTAACATACATATTATTTGCCCTTTACAGAGAAAGTATACTGAAGATAAAATATGTAAGTTTTTAGATATATTTTACTGAGGTTTTATGAGTTTTCTAATTTTTATGTTAGACTCTTCAAAATCCTGTACATATAAAACTAATCTGAATTAAGGAGTTTTCTTTTCCTTTTCTTTCTTTCTTTTTTTTTTTTAATGAATAGGCCAGTAAGATATATTTTGATCTGACCTATACAGCATTTTGAGTAACATTTCTCACAACATTCACATAAATAAATTTTGTAATAAAAATTGTAAGAAATTTTTTAATTTTGATTAACTTTTATACAGCAATTCTGTTAAGTTTAAGCCTTGCTTCATTTACATATGATTAACTAAAAGTTTAAATGGATATAACTTTGAGGAAAATTTATCAAAGAACACATCAACTAATAGTTTTAGTAGTTAACAATGATTTTATAACTATGACACTAATTGAGCTTTACAAAGTGCTTCAGACATTTATAATGTTACAAGAAATGCATTAAATGACATAAATACTAAAAGACTTTGGGCTCAATGGAATAAAATTTGAACTTTTCCACTAATTATCTGCCAGGCACTTTTATCTCCCAATCAAAAAGAAAGGTAGAATTAAATATCAAAAAGAAAAATGAAACAATAATTTTGATAATATCTTTTATAAGCCTGAATGGATAATCCACAGTCTTATTTTTTTCCCCCTGTATTTCTGTTTATTCTGAAAATGACAGAATCTCTTACGTACAACATTGGCTTATTTCTTAGGTTGTTAAATTGCTAAAACCTAGATGCCCTTGATTCCAAAATATTAGCTAAAATCAGTTTAAAAAATTCATTTTGTGAAATACAACTTTCTAAATGCAGCATATAATGGAGATAAACAGTTTAAGAAAAATAAAAGTCTTGTACTCATGCCCTCTAACTTGAGAGAGAACATTATTACCAAAACCATAGGTGTCCCACATGGGTTCACCTACTTCTTCATGCTTTTGGTAACCATTTTCCCAATTTTTGTGTAAATTTTTTTTTTACTTATTTTAATAGTTTTGCCAAATATACACACACATATATATATGTGGCATATGCATTAATATTATTCAGTTTTCCAAGTTTTAAAACCTTTTAAAAAGGCATTTATTTCTATGCTTTTTTGCCCAATATTTGTTTTATTTTTATTATTTGTTTTTCATTATTTCACAGATATTTCTATTTCATCCAAATTTCATTTTGATAAGCGTAGTTGTACTTCCTTAACTTTTTATGCAAATAAAGCTCATTTATACCACTATAACAATTTATATTTATCCATTCTATAGTTGTTGGGCATTTAGTTTTTTTTTATTTTTTAAACATCTATGAACAAATCTGTGAATATTTCTCTACATGCCTCCTGGCTCAAAGCACAAGCATTTCTCTAGGTTAAGTCCTGAACGTAAACTTTCTGTGTTGAAGAGTAAGTGCATGCTAACTTTTCTAACATAATTATACCAAGCGACCATACAACTAGTAGTATATACGAGTTTGTTCACTTTACATCCTGCCGAAACATGGTGTTTCTTGTTTTTGTTTTGTTTAGTTTTGTTTTTAATCAGGATTGATTGTTGACATCTAACTAAATATAAGAAATTACACACAAAGATTCATAGACAATTAATTTTTACATTTGGATCAACACAGCATTCCTGGAATGCTAATATTTAATTTATATTTCCATCTCTGTTTAGGATTAATATTTCCCTTGATATTTTTATCTCCTATACCACCTCTAGTTTTATTTCAACAATAAACATTTTTTAAAAAAATGTATGGTTGTGTTTACCTGTTCCATGTGGATTTCTTATTATGCTCCAGGAGCACTCTCTAGGAATTGTTCTGACCTGTGGAAACTTTTTAAGTGGAGAATCAAGTTATCTATATATGTTATAGTGTCATCAGATTTTCTATTTCTCTCCATTCTATTTTGGCAATTTGTACATTTCAACAAATGTGTTCATTGTGCCTTTGCTTTACACTCATTATAATATCCTCTTCTTTGGCAATATTGATTTACTTGTGGTTATTAAACTTTTACATTGACAATATTGCGTTTTTTCTTTCTTCCTCCTTCCTCACCCTTCTCTTAAACTTTCCCTTCTGTCTAGCCCTCTCCACCGTCTTATTACAAAACCTGTTCTTTGTTTATTTTTTCTTTTATTGATAGATAATATTTTACATATTTGTGAGGTACACATGAGTGTTTGTTACATGCATAGAATGTGTAATGATGAAGTCAGGTCATTTGGGGTACCCATCACCTTGAGTATTTATCATTTCTATGTGTTGGTATAAATTCAAGTCCTCTCCTCTAGTTACTTTGAAAAATACAAAATATTGTTGCTTACTATAGTTAACATATGCTGATTTCAAACATTAGAAGTTATTTCTTCTATCTAACTATATATTCATACCCAGTAACCAAATTCTCTTCATCCTCCCACTCTCAGCCACCTACTCTTCTCAGTCTCTGGTATCTATCATTCTGTTCTCTGTATCCATAATACCAAGTATTGTAGCTCCCGCTTATGAGTGAAAATATGTGATATTTGTCTTTGTATGCCTGGTTTATTTCACTTAACATAATAAACTCCAGTTCCATCTATGTTGCTGTAAATGACATGATTTCATTATTTTTTATGGCTGAATAGTATTCCATTGTTTATATATACTGCATTTAATTTATTGATTCATCTGTTGATAGATACTTAGGTTGAATTCATATTTGCTATTGTGAGTAGTTCTGCAATAAATATGCAAATGCATATATTTCTTTGATATATTGATTTATTTTCCTTTGGATAAATATCCAGTTGTGAGATAACAAAAATCAGAGCTAAACTGAAGGAGATTGAGACATGACAAACCAGTCTTAATCAATGAATCTAGCATCTGGTTTTCTGAAAAAATTAAAATAGACCACTAGCTAGACTAATAAAGAAGAAAAGAGAGACGGTTCAAATGAACACGAACAGAAATGACAAAGGGGATATCACCACTGACTTCACAGATATACAAACAATCATCAGAAAATATTATGAACACCTCTACACACATAAACTAGAAAGTATATAAGAAATAGGTCAATTCCTGGACACATACACCCTCCCAAGACTAAACAAGGAAAAATTGAATCTCTGAACAGACCAATAACAAGCTCTAAAATTGAGGCAGTAATAGACTACTAACCAAAAAAGAAAAAAATTATATGACCACACAGATTCACAGCTGAATTCTACCAGATGCACAAAGAAGAGCTGGTACCATTTTTACTAACCTACTCAAAATAATTGAGGAGGAAGGACTCTTCCCTAACTCATTCTTTGAGGCCAGCATCATTCTGATACCAAAACCTGACAAAGATACAATGGCAACAACAAGACTTCAGGTCAATAACCTTAATGAACATTGATGCAAAAATCCTCAGCAAAATGCTGGCAAACTAAATCCAGCAGAACAACAAAAAGCTTATTCAATACAATAAAGTAGGCTTTATCCCTGGGATGCAAATTTGGTTCAACATATGCAAACCAATGTGATTTATCACATAAACATAATTAAAGACAAAAACCACATAATTATCTCAATAGATGAAGAAAAGGCTTTCCATAAAATTCAACATCAATTCATGTTAAAAACTCTCAACAAACTGTGGATTGAAGGAACATACCTCCAAAAATAAGAGCCATCTATGACAAACCTACAGGCAACATCATACTTAATCAGCAAAAGCTGGAAGCATCCCCTTTGAAAACTGGCACAAGATAAGGGTGCCCTCTCTCTCCACTACTATTCAATGTATTATTGGATGTTCTGGCCAGGGCTATCAGGCAAAAGAAAGAAAGAAAGGCATCCAAATAGGAAAAGAGAAAGCCAAACTATCCCTGATAGCAGACAACATGGTATTAAATCTAGAAAACCAAATAGTCTCAGCCCTAAAGCTTCTTAAGCTCTTAAATAACTTCTGCATAGTCTCAGTATATAAAATCAATGTGGATAAATACTAGCATTTTTATACACCAACAGTCAAGCTGTGAGCCAAATCAGGAACAAACTCCCATTCACAATTGTCACAAAAAGAAAAAGTTATCTAGGAATACAGGAAATTAGGAAAGTAAAAGATCTCTCCAAGGAGAACTACAAAACTCTTCTCAAAGAAATCAGAGATAACACAAACAAATGAAAAAATATTCAATTCTCATGCATACGAAGAATCAATATTGTAAAAATGGCCATACTCCAGAAAGCAATGTATAGATTTAATGCTATTCTATTAGACTACCACTGAAATTCTTCACAGAACTAGAAACCCTATTTTAAAATTCATATGAAATGAAAAGGAGCCCCAGTAGCCAAGGCAATTGTAAGCAAAAGAACAAAGCTGGAGGCATCATACTATGTGACTTCAAACTATACTACAAGGCTACAGTAACCAAAACAGCATGGTACTAGTACAAAAACAAACACATAGACCAATGGAACAGAACAGATAACGAAGAAGTATAACTGTACACCAACAACCCTCTGATCTTCAACAAACATGACAAAAAAAGCAATGGGAAAAGAATTCGCTGTTTAATAAATGATGCTGTGATAACTGGGTAGCCATATGCAGAAGATTGAAACTGAAGCCCTTTCTTCACCATATCCAAAAATTAACTCAAGAGAGATTAAAGACTTAAATATAAAACCCAAAACTAAAAAGCCTGGAAGGCAACCTAGGCAATACTATTTTGGACAAAGGCATGGGCAAAGACTTCATGACAAACACAGCAAAAGCAATCACAACAAAAGCAAAAATTGACAAATGGGATCTAATTAAACTAAAGAGCTTCTGCACAGCAAAGTAAACTGTCAACAGAGTAAATAGATAAACTACAGAATAGAAGAAAATGTTTGCAAACTATGCATCTGACAAAGGTCTAACATCCATCATCTACAAAGAACTTAAACAAATTCACAAGAAAAAATCAAACAACCGATTCGTGATGGTTAATACTGAAGGTCAACTTGATTGTATTGAAGGATGCAATGTATTGTTCCTGGATGTGTCTGTGAGGGTGTTGCTAAAGGAGATGAACATCTGATTCAGTGGGCTGGAGAAGACAAACCCACCCTTAATCTGGTGCACACAGTCTAATCAGCTGCCAGCGAATATAAAGCAGGCAGAAAAACTTGAAAAGGTGAGACTGGCCTAGCCTCCTAGACTCCACCTTTCTCCCATGCTGGATGCTTCCTGCCCTCGAACATTGGACTCAAA